>NC_000004.12:114830471-114981987 GCF_000001405.40 Homo sapiens | reverse complement strand
TGAGAACTCTGTCATGAGACAGCACTAGGGAGATGGTGCTAAACCTTTAGAAACCACCCTCAGAATCCAATCACCTCCCACCAAGCCCCACCTTCAACATGTGGGGATTACAATTTGATGTGAGATTTGGGTTGGGACACAGAGCCAAACCATATCAAAGACTATATCAAAATGTGAATATGCACATGACTTATTAGGTACATTTAGGGAAAGGGTTAGCCTGAGAGTAACAACCTAATATCCAAATGATTTAAGAAATATGCATAACACCTTGAAATTAATATAAATAGTATACTAACTCAGTATTATTAGGACACTAATGTTCTAATGGTGATGATCTCCAGGTTGAAGCTATAAAAATCATTGTTAAAAACAGATTTTTGTTTTCATTTTATAGTCTCCAATTCAGAATCCCCAGAGGATAAGCCTGGGAGTAGATACTTTACAAGCATGCTGGTGATTCATTTCATGTGGGCAACTTGAAAATAATTGCTCGACGTTTATTAGAACCAGCTGGAGTATATGATGAAGTGCACATTTGTAGGCATTATGACAGACAAAAATCAGTATTTCCTGAAGTGGGCCCCAGAATTGACAATTTTAGCAATTTTCTCTAGAAAATTGTACACATAATAAAGTTTGAATACCATTACTGCTTTATCAAACAGTATGTAGCTATATAGGGGCAAAGTTGGACTCTCATTCTTTTTCCTGCTTTCTTCCTTCCTTCCTTCCTTCCTTCCTTCCTTCCTTCCTTCCTTCCTTCCTTCCATCCTTTCTTCTTCTCTTTCTTTCGCTTTGTCAGATTGGCATGAACATGGCTCATTGTACTCTCAAACTCCTGGGCTAAAGTGATCCTCTCGCTCCCACCCTGGAAGTAGTTGAGACTACAGGTATATTACACACCCCACCATGCCAGGCTAATTTTTGTATTTTTTTGTAGAGAAGGGGTTGCACCATGTTGCCCAGGCTGGCTTTGACTCTTAAGCTCAAGCAATCCTCCCAGCTCAGCTTCCCAAAGTGCTAGTAATATAGGCGTGAGCCACCACACCCAGCCTAGACTTCCTTTCTGAAATACTAAGAAATTTATTAGGAGACTATTGAATTAATGGAAGTTATGTTTATTAAAATAATAAATTATTGATTTTTATAAATAAGTTACATATTTATTCTCTTTAATATACAATCAACTTAGTGAGTTCTTCATAAGCAGTAAAAGAAAAAATTTCAAAACCATTTATATTGTTTGTTATGTCATGCAGACTATTAAATAAATAATGTATATTGTCAAAGCTCTAAACGCATTTTATTATTTTTATTTTATTTATTTCTTTATTTATTTTTTGAGATGGAGTTTCACTCTTGTCGCCCAGGCTGGAGTGCCATTGCGCAATCTCAGCTCACTGCAACCTCCACCTCCCAGGTTTAAGTGATTCTCCTGACTCAGCCTCCCGAGCAGCTGGGATTACAGGCATGCACTACCACGCCCATCTAATTTTTGTATTATTAGTAGAGAAGGGGTTTCACCATGTGGGCCAGGCTGGTCTTGAACTTCTGACCTCAAAAGATCCACCTGCCTCGGCGTCCCAAAGTGCTGGGATTACAGGCATGAGCCATCATGCCCAGCCACATTTTATTACACATATTCAAAACTAAAGTTTCCGCACGAAATATTCAGGTAGAAAAAAGTGTATTTCCTGAGCTTTACTATTTTATTTGTATCCCAAATTGAGAAACTTTATTTCTAGCTCATTAACAAGCTTTTCCAAAATAAGGGGTTTTAAAAATTGAAGGGTTTTAAAAGAATAAGTTAAATTTGTACTTAATTTATTCTTAAATTTATATCCATATTATTTTTGCCCTAATATTTCTTCTGACATTTTACATTATTCCTATATTGGAATTCTTTCATCTTTCTACTTTTCTTCTGAATTTGTATGGTTTAGCACTTTTCTCTTTTAAATTTATTTCTGATTTTTTTTAGTTTGAATCATTTTGTGTATATTCATTGTTATTTTTTTCTCCCTTCCTTTGTAACTGAATGGCATGAAAACTTTTCTGAAGTTTGAAAACTAAAGAACATTTACTTGTACTAAACAAGGAAGCCTTGAAAACTTTTTAAGATTTGCTTTTTTTTCATTCGTTTTGTTTTTACTTATAGAATTTGTCATTTTTACTCCCTCATTAATCCAGACTACATGTTAGTAGGCCATGACTAGATAGCTCTTTTTTTCAACAATGAAAAGGTCTGTTAAGTTCTTCACATAGCTAACTAGCCCCCCATCTGCCTTTGCCTCTCTGAACTTGCTTTAGAGATCTATGACACAAGGCTATAAAACATCTGTGTTATAAAACATCCTGGTGAAATGCTAGATCCTATCTATATTGTTCTGATATCATCTTGTGGTATGGCCCATGAACTATGTTTATCATATTACCATTGGAAAAATGTTACTGACAAAAATTAAAAATTAAAAATAAATGAAACTAATCCAATTATTGCTGTGTATTAGTATGTACTTTTATCATACTTTGGATACATCAAACCTTACTCATTTTCATGTATCTCATGTTACTAAATGCAAAAAAAAACCAGTAACATGAGATACATGAAAATGAATAAGGTTTGATGGAGCTTCAGGTGCATAGACTAAAGGAAAACATGAGATAGAGCATGGATGCAATAAAGTCAAAAATAATGCAAGTTTTAAGAAAATAATTTAGGAATCTACTTTGGTGTACCAGAGGAGGCTTTATACAAAAAGTTGACATTTGGGCGGAGATATAAAGAATTGGTAGGATTTGGGAAATGGCATTGGGAGCTGGGGAGGCTTTCTAGGCAAAGAGAATAAAGAGAGAAATAGCACTGGGAAATGTAGGAGGTGGGAGATAGTTAAGTTTAACCAGAGTACATGGTGATTTGCAGGAAATAGCAATGGGTGTTGGAGGCACCAAGGATACCTAACTGATGGAGAGAGAATGATAGACTCAGTTATCAGTAATAGTATTTATTGAGCTCATGCTACTTGCCAGACACTTAGCTAAACAATTTGCATGCCTTACCCAATGTAATTCTCCTAATAAGAGTATAAAATAAATTTTCAGAAGTACCCCATTTCACAGATAAATAAATGCAGAATAATGAATGACTTCAAGAACTTAGAGGAAGAAAGATAAGTGGATGAAATTGGAGTGGTGAGGGGAATAGCAGACGGGAGAAATTTTTTTAAAAATCAAGATAAGGAGACTAAGAAATTGTGCATGGAATACAGCCAAAAAAAAAGCCAGAAAAGGGAACTCACTAAGGGAAATAATGCATAATATTCTTATTTTAAGGCTGTATTCCAGAGCATTTACCAATATGTTCAACTAGTTCAATGCACTTTTTATCTCAACTGTTTTTAATATTTAGTTTAATCTCTATGAGAAATGTATTTTTAATATTTTGTAGAACTCAGTTAAGCTAGTGGTTCTATTTCTGCCTTTGTCTACTTAGTTGATAATATTTAATAATGTTGAACATGATAACACCCAGTCTAATTGTGGTCTTGGATAACCATTGACTATATATTTTATCAACATTTTAGTTACTTAGTCATTTTTTTAATTAAACTAATGTACAGGAGACTCCTTTCATTGTAAAGGAATAAACAGTTAGGTTCACAAGTCTTTGAAACAAATGCTTAGCCACCATGACTAATGGAAAAAATTGTTTAACCTCTGACTCCTTAGTCTCCATAACAGATGGATAGGAGTAATCAAAAATCAGTCTTATTATTAATATCTCTTGTTTGAAATTAGCTTCTCATTTTAATCAGAACAAAGTATGTCCTCTTTAAAAATCCATTAAAAATAGAAAAAGCATTCTGAATCAATATGCATACCAGTAAGCAAACTAAAAAGCCCAAGGATATAAGGGTTCTGAATTATGCTACAAATTTTGACATAGGAATAATGGCGGTGAAAGGATTGGCAACAAATTTACATAACTAATTCTGTGTCATTATTAGCAATGTGTTATTATCCTGTCCACAAACCAGACTTTCACATAGTATAATTCCAAATCTAGAAACTAGGGAAATGTTTGTCACATTTAGAAAATTTCTGTTATGGAATTAGTAACAAAAAGGGGTATCTATTTTTACATGTTCTTCCCTTTTTCATAACTAGGTTTGCAAGCAATGTCCTATAAAATACACATTGCTCTGTAGTTTGTAAGGTAAAAACCCAAGCTTTCAATTTAATAATTATGCCTTTAAAAATGATGAGGGAGGTGGCCCAGTTAAATAAAATATTAAATTGCAGTTCAAACAAAAGTTCTCCTCCTATTGCTTACCATGAAAACAGGACTTGTCTGCATTCAACAATTCTGAAAAATTTTCACCACATAAAGGAAGTATAATAATCCAAAGTTCAAGAAATGTCTCACACAGAAATGAAAAATGATTTCAGTGCTGTGGAGTTGGACAATTGCCTCTCAGCAATGCAAAATGTGCTTAGGACTTAACTGTTTCATAATATGGTGACCTTCAATAAAAATAATGACTATAATAATTATAATACCTGAAATACGAATACTACATAACAGTACCCATCAAAAACAAGAAAGCTCATATCATTTTGTTTTACTCATGCATACACATTTGCAAAAGAGGCATCCCAAAACTTCATATTTATTTTTCTAAAATCATGTTAATTTCTTATTTATTTCAGGCATTACTAGAGACTCAAAATTTACTGCGCACTCAGGTTGCAAATTTTACCTTCAACCTTGGATTTTCAGGGAAGTTTTACCACACAGGTAAGAAGGAGCTTTGTGTTCTCAGGCAGCTACATATAAATAGGAAATAAATTTTGAATGATTCATAAGTGGTAGAGATAGATTCTCCAGATTGATTATGGGAAAAACTTGGGCACATTATTTGAGTAGCCAAATCCAAAATCAATGAGCATATTTACCTTGGCAAATACTGTTTAAAATCAAGGGCAAAAGAGAAAGAGAATTGACTTTTTCAACTCATTTTTTAAAAAATAGAAAGCATAACCACTGTACTGAGTATGACTGTGCATCTTGTTTCTCAGCACAGTATGGGTAGAAGGCATAGTAATAGTGATAATGAGAATACTACTAATAATAACTGACAGAATTTTAAAATTATCAAATAGTTGATGAGATAGATACTTTTGTACATATTATTTTCCTTTGGAAAACATCTGATGATAGAGAGAAACTTTATGGTCTCAATGAAATGTAATAGACTCTAAACTTGTTAGTTTACCTTCACTTGCAGGATTTTTTCCCTAAAACAATATTACCACTAATTTGGCCTAACATAGACTAAAACCATCACAATTAGACTTGTATTTCTTTCCATCTCTATCCAGCCACAATTGTACTTATGTTCAGTCTCACCCTCTAAATAAATTCTTAAAATGTGATTGCTATTCATGTGCTGTGTTCTGATATTCCTTACTTCTTTACTTACCCTCACCTCCAAAATGCTGACTTTTTATTTTCTGAATATTAGCATTGAAATATCTGGTACCATGTTAGAGAAAGCTATGCTAATAAAATTGATTGTCTTTGACAAAAAGAGTACTAAACTATGTGTTGGGGCCTGTGTTAGGGGAATACCTATAATCTGCTTCTATTTGTGCATCCATGCTGTGAACTGATTGCTTTGTTTAGAAGTTTGCACTGTTGTTGTTTCACAGCACCTTAGTGAAAACATTTCACAGTATTTATTCTGTATCCATGTATGCAATTTATTAACTTATTAAAATATTCTATTCAAAGGTAGTCTTTAGTTTTCATAAATACCTTGTTTACTAAATGAGGCTTTTTAATGTAAAAGCTCAATATGGTTTGTTAGAATATTGAAATAACAATGTCTTATTGGCTTTTCCTTGATGCTTTTTTTTCTCCTGCTTTGAAACATGTAAACCTGCTTAAAGTAATAGAAGGAAAATTAGTATGTATACGAGTTGATAAATCAAATGATTTCATATTTTAAAAGGATGTTTTGCAGAAAGAGATTTGGGTCAGCATATCTGCACAGGCAAAGCAATTTCAGCTTGCAATTTTGAAAATAGACATGGTTTTGTAAATCTTTTCAAAACTCCCTCAAGAAATGATTTCAGACCAAAGAAGCTCTGACTATGAAGTTATAAAGCAGATAGCTTTAAAGGCTATATCTACTCATGCAGGGGGAAAAATTATGGGATTATTTGGAGTTCACATACAAACAATACTATTTTGTCTTAAATAGCTGTAGATTGTAAGGAAAGTCATTCTTTTGGCTGAAGTATATCTGGATAACTGCCTCAGTTTTTATTTACTTTTCATACTCAGACCTATTAAATGTGCCTGACATTTGCAAAGTTAATGTTGTAGAGGATACACCACTTCCCATTTCTTCTTTAAAACACTGAACATGCATAGAGTACACAACCACTGGGAAATGAGCAGCACTCCAGTCAGTATCACAGAAATAGTTATTGAAGAAGGACAGTAAAAAAGAAAGATGTATTTTAATTATATCTTTTAAGCAGGCATTATTGACTCTTTGTGTTGAAACCAGTATAACAAAAACAATAGAATAGTTTGTGTTGTAATACTGTGGTGATAGTACACTTTAGAGAATAAGCAATATTTATAAATCTATAAATTTTAGAAGTTTAATTTCTTTCACATAAATATGTCATTTTTATTTAATGGATATATTTACTTCATTTGTAGGATCATTGAAATGCACCTATAACATATTTCAAGAGTGCCATCATAATTATATGAATACTTATTAATGCACTCAGGGATATCAAAGTTTCTTCTGGAGCTGAGTTACACAACGTGATACCCTTTCAGATATCAGAAAGACGTGCCTTACCCCTATCTTGTCACATTTCTATACGGAGATTTCACATTTTAGAAAAAACAATTGCAAATCAAGGAGGTGCATTCCTTACATGTGCACTTGGCTGTGATGTGTAACCATGAGGAGATGGCCTTGTCGGACTGACTGTCTCTGTTCTCTCCCAGAATGATCTGATTTCCCAGTGCGTGAGGATGCTGATGGATGAGCCTCATTGTTTTGAAGACATTTAATCACATAGGCCCAGTGTAATAATGATTGATTCTGCATTTCTTAGGCTACTTCACTTATGTGTATTTCTCATGTATTCTTTCCTGTTCAGTTTCTCTGTCCTTCACATGCTAAAAACAATCTCACCTCAAAAGGGCATACCACTAAGCTTTTCCTAAAGTCATTCACCCACAGGTGCCAAACTGAAAGAGGAAGGACGTAGTGCAGGTTAAATGGGAAAAAAATAAAAGCACGGAGTTTAGAATGAAATACCTTAGTCTGGAAATATTTAGAGCTTGAATGGAATTGCATAACAAAAGCTTAATTGAGAAATGGAGACATTATAGTATTCAGATGCCTTCTTTGAAAGAGGAGCTACCCACTGTATTTTGCCAGGGACATGATTTCTGGTGACAATCATTGCTGTTCCTTGGAATTAAATGTGACCCAATCAATAATTAATTCATGAATAATGTTTGCAAATTGAATTAACAATTAACATTGGTCTTTTCCATGAGAGATTATTTTATGAAAAATAGCATTTTCTATAAAATCATTAACTTTCAAGCATGACAGTAAGTAGAGTGTTACATTCTTACCCCTTCTGTGATTTTTTGTTTTTTGCATATGTTGCTTTTCTGTGTGGAGAATTAGTTAAAAGACCTGATATTGGTAACAAACTTGATGTTCAAATCCAGATTCTGACATTTTGCCAGCATTTGAACACAGTTTACTTAAATTTTCTGTGCCTCAGTTTATATATCTACCAAATGGGGATAATAATATCTCTTTTATTAGGAGCAATGCTTAGCATGTTACAAGTGCTATGTAAATGTTTATTATTAATTTTAAAATTATTTTCATATAAGATTCAAATATTATCAAAAAGTAAATAGTAGACAATTCATATGGCACTATTTTCTAATTTTGGAACCATAGGTAGCTTTTAATCAATGTTTATCATTCCACAGTTCTTTATATTTAGTATAATATTAAAAAGTAGTTTATTCTATCCCCACATATATGGAACCATGCCAGGTTCGATGTACAAGGAAAATTAGAAAATATCTCAACATTTAGAAATTATATTTTATACAAATTACACAAATATAAGGTAGAAATTTTTACAAAAGAGAAAATAAATACACTGAAATTATATATATCTTAATTTAATAACTGTACTTTTAAGGAGATTAACCTGTAGGGCAAAATTATTCTTATTTTGGCAGACTTAAAGAAATTTCAGAAGCATACTTTTATCTCACAACACAGATTCTCCAAAAGTGATAGTAAAGAAACAAACTTCATGTATTTTACTTCTGAATTAAAACATTTTTTATTCATTGGTAATTAGGAAATGTAAAAAAAAAATTTTAATAAGTGCAAAATGTATTTTTTTCATTAATAATTATCTAGACCAGGATCTAGATCAGATTAGAAGTGAAAGGTTTAATTTGAGCACAGATATTTTAATGGTCTGTAACATGCTAATCTGGTCACATATAAACTGCAAATGATATTTCCACATATAATTTAAGTATATATTAGGTACAGAAAAATAAATGTGCTAATCTGGTCACATATAAACTGCAAATGATATTTCCACATATACTTTAAGTATATATTAGGTATAGAAAAATAAATGCGCTAATCTGGTCACATATAAACTGCAAATGATATTTCCACATATAATTTAAGTATATATTAGGTACAGAAAAATAAATGTTTACAGGAAGTCCAAAATGTAATACTTTCATCTAGTTGGATTTGAAATCATTTGAGATTCTGCTGCTGTCCCTCAGTATGGCTTAGTATCATATTTTTTATTAAGCTGTTTCCAGTGTCAAAGGTTTGCCTCATGTGGCTTTGAATTATATGACCAGCATAAAACAAGAGAAAAGCTGACAAAAATTAATCCATGATGCAAACAAAAGGAAAGTCTTAAACGTTACTCTCAGCTTTTTTGAGGGTGTTTATAAATTAACATAATCTCTAATATAAAAATTGCTAAGATTTTATGATCAGTCATGCATCTGTTTCTATCAATAGTCCACAAAATTTTCTTTAAATTGAGTAATTGACCTCCTACCTGGTCAAGTGTGCATTATGTGCTTCCTGCCACTTGCAATAATGATCAGCAGAGTTTAAAATGAATGGAAGCATTTTTCAAACACTCTGTATTCAAAGCACACAAGACAATTCCAGGAGGGTGGGAGAACTATCAATTCTTTCATCATATGTGACATAATGTAACTCTTTCTAATCTGTGCCTCAATTTGCTAAAATATGACCATGAGAAACATATAAACACCTCATCTGAGGAAGTGGTAAACTCTTCTTCTTTTGAATTTTAATATTTCATATTCTTAATATATTAACAAAAGTCAATGAATTATGAGTCAGTAATACTAACACTGTTAGCTAAAACAAAAATTAAGAAATCCTCTGCTCATCTTAATTATAGGACTTTATTACTTTCAAAATTTCTAATAGTAATAGAATTTCTTAACTCTGTGTAGTAGCATTGAAGGTGCCAAAGCCCTAATTAAACCTGAAGGTCCTTATACCTTTCAAAGATTATGAATTATGAACTCTATTCCAGGAACAGTGAGTATACATAAAAGAAAGAAGTTGCTATATACTTTGGTGGCCATGTGAAGCTGCTTAATCTACTGACTTTGTTAAATATAGACTAAATTAAATTATTCATTTATTCACTGCTCTGGGTAAGTGGCGTGTTACAGTACAAGGTAAAGGGATCCAGTCCCTGACTGTAAGAAATTTATAATCTACGCAGGCAAAGTTTCTAAAACAGTGTGAATACATATAAATTCAAAACACAGCAAATACAAAGCAATAGATAGAATTTTTAAGGTATATTCAAAAAGTGCTTACTACTTGCAAGTAGCAATATTAAGTGCTTTAATAAATTAATCTCATCAACTCTTCACTAAGACCCTGTAAAACAGGTATTTATAATCCTATTTTAAAACAGGGAACTAAGACCTAGAGAGGTTAACTTGTCCAAGATCACATAGTTAATTAAGTGGCAAAACTAGGGACTCTGCTCCAAGTACTGAGTGACACCAAATACATGCTTTAATCCTTTCATGGAGCTACTCTCATGACCATGGAAATCTTTAAGACACACACATGGAACATTCAGAGAAAATCCTTATAACCATCTTTAATATTTATTCCCTAAATTTAAGTAAAAAATAAAAATAAAAAATCAAACATCCATCTGTAAAACATATTCTTTTGTGAGAGAATAAACCAAATAATACAACCCACACTATAAGCCAGGACTTATTCTCTTATTTACACAGTTAAGTAGTAAGAGAGCAAGCAGGAATTAATTCTTATGTTATCGATTCACAACATTTGTAAATTCAGCTGTATATAGTAAAATTGTACAAAATCATACGAAAACTCTATCATTTCATTTGTGGATATTCTTGGATAGCTGCAATATAATTAATTCTCTTAGAAGTAAGTTTTTTTTTTCTTAACTGTGGCATAACAATGTTTTTTGTTTTTATTTCCTATGTATTGGGTGCTGTTAACAAATTTTCCCAAAAGAAGAAGAGAAAGTGATACTAGTTTTAAATTCTCAAGTCACACATATTATAAACAATTATCAGATCCATTGTTTAGTTTTTATGAAATATTTATATTAAAATGGGAAATTTGATATGTATAACATTAAGTGAAAAATTTAAGCATGCAAAAATATTAGTACAGCAAGAGCTAAACTTTTAAAATATAAGTAGAAAAAGATTTTTGAAAATAATACAAAAATGTTTTTACTGGTTAGCTCTAGAAGATGGTCTTACAGGTTTTTTGTTGTTGTTTTTGTGTTTGTTTTTGGGCTTTGTGTATTACTTGCCTGTGCTTTTGACATTTCTTTAATAAACATATATTATTTATGTAATCAGAAAAAAATTAACAAATGTTATGAGTTAAAATTTATGTCCAATTATTTGAGAATTACCCTTAACATTTAAGGGTAAAAAATATATGTTAGGGTATAAAATACATATAAGGGTATAACATATATGTAAGAGTATAAAATACCCTTAAATTCTAAATTAAACAACTGTCTGACCTGGTGCCAGCCATGCCTACTCACCCCATCCTAATCCCAAGTCCCTTTGCCTTTGATTCATTTTAGACTGTGGTCTTTTATTCTGATTTAAAAAGCCCACAGAATTGGATATATGTATCAGCAGCATGAAAAATTAACATAAATCTGACAAAAATAACCTTTAAGATAGTAAGAAATTTTCACTAAAGTTATTTTTAACTTTATGTTTTAAAGGGACTGAAGAGGAAGATGAAGGAGATGACCTTTTACTTCGGTCTGTGGATGAGTTCTGGTGGTTTCCTCACATGTGGAGCCACATGCAGCCCCACCTCTTCCACAACGAGTCATCTTTAGTAGAGCAGATGATTCTCAACAAGGAATTTGCACTGGTGAGCACATTTTATTGTGGTATCTTTTGAACTATAAGTTGTGATCTTGTGGTGGAAGTGTAAAATTAATGTATTGGGTTGAATATGATAGAAATAGAATAAAATATAATATCAGGGTGCATCACATGTATTGAGGGTACATATAACTTTGTGATATTTTGTTTCAGGCATGTGTGTATATGTAAAGGACCATTATGTAATTATATAGAAAATATATTTCAAAAAGTAAGTTATTTTCAGAAAGCTTTCAACTCCTATTTTACGAGATGACTACTCTTGTATCTATGAAGATGAAAAAATAGTACAACTTTCATTCTTGGTGCAATATAATTAACCATTCAAAAATAATTTATTGCTTAACATCACTAATCATTAGAGAAATACAAATCAAAACCACAATGAGATACCATCTCATTCCAATCAGAATAACAGTTATTAAAAAGTCAAAAACAACAGATGTTGGCAAGGTTGCAGAGGAAAAGAGAACACTTACACACTGCTGGTGGAAATATAAATTAGTATAGCCATTGTGGAAAGCAGTGTGGCAATTTCTCAAAGAACTTAAAACAGAAGTACCATTTGATTGAGCAATCCTATTATTAGTTATATGCCAAAGAAGTATAAATGCTTCTACCATAAAGACGCACACACATGTTCATCACAGAGCTATTCACAACAGCAAAGTCATGGAATCAACCTAAATGCCTATCAACAGTAGATTGGATAAAGAAAATGTGGTCCATATATACACCATGGAACACTATGCAGCCATAAAAAAGAATGAGATTATGTCCTTTGCAGCAACATGGATGGGGCTAGAGGCCATAATCCTAAGCAAACTGACACAGGAACAGAAAACCAAACACTGCATGTTGGCACTTATGAGTGTGAGCTAAACACTGAGTACACATGGACACAAAGAAGGGAACACCAAACCCTGGAGCCTGCTTGAGTGTGGAGGGAGAGGATGGAAAAACTACCTGTCTGATACTATGCTTATCGCTTGGGTGACAAAATAATCTGTACACTGAAACTCCATGACACAATTTATCTATATCATAAACCTGCACATAGCCCTGAACTTTTTTTTTTTTTTTTTTTTTTTTTTCTTTTTTTGAGACGGAGTCTCGCTCTGTCACCCAGGCTGGAGTGCAGTGGCGGGATCTCGGCTCACTGCAAGCTCCGCCTCCCGGGTTCACGCCATTCTCCTGCCTCAGCCTCCCAAGTAGCTGGGACTACAGGCGCCCGCCACTACGCCCGGCTAATTTTTTTGTATTTTTAGTAGAGACGGGGTTTCACCGTTTTAGCCCGGATGGTCTCGACTATTTTTTAAATAATAGTTTAAAAAATCATTTGTTGCAAGAATGAAGGAAGAAATGAATGAGTTGAATGTTTGGAGCCATGACTCTAGACCAGTGGCTCTCATATTTTAGTGTGATCTATTTCACCTAGAAGACTTCTGAAACACAGACTGCTTGGTCCATTAGCACAGTTTCTGATTCAGTAGATCTGCAGAGAGGCCTGACAATTTGCATTTCAGAAACTTCCCAGATGATCCCCATGATTCTACACTAAGAATCACTTGCTCTAGACGAGGGGCTGGAAAATTGTGACCTTTAAGCCAATTCTGGAGTGCTACTTGCTGTTTATGATCCCTGACCTAAGAAAGCCTTTTTTAAAAACATTTCTTAATAATTCAAATCAAAAGTAAGCAATCAAAGGAACAGTGATATTTTGTGGCATGTAAAAATTATATAAAATTTACATTTAAATGTTCATAAATAAAATTTTGTTGGAAGACTGCCACACTCATTCCTTTACGAATTGCCTGCAGCTGCTTTCACATTGCAATGGCGGAGTTGAATGGTTGTGAAAGAGATCCTATGGTCCACAAAGCCTAAAATATTTTTATCTCAATCTTTACCAAAAAAAAGTTTGCTCATCCCTGCTCTAGACGTTAATTAAGCCATGTATTCCTTTAAGAATCTAACAAAAGACAGAAACATTTTCCCTTGAAAAATGCTCAGATGCACATTCTCACATCTTCACCCAGTGGGACATACAATCACAAAGGGTTTGTGAATCCAGCAAAGACCCTAGTTCCTAGTTAGGAACTCCTAACTTAAACTGTTGTGATTCATTAGTACTGTGTGATTTACTGATATTTTCGTTGTTTTAAGCCATCTTTGGAAGCATAGCGCAAGTCAAATTAATACTATGATATGTTACAAAGTTATGCCCAGTTGTTAAGCTAATAGCTCATCACTCTTTGAGTCTCTAAATCCCCAGACCAATGTCAGATCTGCACACAGGATTCTTAGTAGTAAATGTAGAAAACATAAAAAGTAGTTAAGATCAAGGACTCAGGCACCAGATTATCTGTTTGAATCCTCACCTTCCATTGATGGTTGCTTGACCTTGAACAAATGACTTAGATTCTCTATGTCTGTTTCTCCATTTATAAAACTGAGATAATGGTAACAACTACCTCATGGAATTGCTGGGAGGATATACATAATGTGCTTAGAGCAGCGGCTGGCACACAGTAAGCATTCAATAGTGTTAATTAACCAATTATGACCTTTCTAAATACAGAGGAGCATGCAATTACATCTTGCTTTTAAAACACCTAATTTTTTTTAAAAAAAATATGGATTTACAAGGGGTCATTTTTTACTTAACTTTTAGGAAATGTCTCATAAATGTGGTACTGCTTCATAGCATTATAAAATTAAGTAAATCTTTTCCATTTCAAAAATAAACTTACCTTGAGTAAGCATGCTAAATTCTCTCAGGACACTTACCTTGAAAATAAAACATGTTTATCACCTGTCTTAAACTTCCCCCACTTCATTCCACTACACTCCTACTCTAGAGCCTTGCGTTTTAGGGATATAGGTTATATTTCATAATGGTTGATTTCACCTGTTTGTGTAATTTCTTTTTTAAGAGCCATGCTGAGAGCTCTGAGAAGACTCAGATGTAATTGCTTTGTAATGAAATGTTGAAAGCTATTTAGAGTCCATTCAGAGTAATTACATTTGTTTAGTCAGCGTGGCTAGAAACTACACTTATTCCTATAAATATATTGTGTAAAAAATCTTATTGTATTTTACATAGTCCAAATATTACGACTAAAATGAAGTCCATTAAACATATATCATACTGAAATGACACTGTCCTTTTCCTTCTGGAGTTCAGCTCAATAAAACTCAAGACTCTTCAAGCAGTGACATTCAGAACCCCACCTTTATTGTCAACATAACATGACAATATGTGTGCTATCCAGAGAGCCAAGAGATATATCTCTTTCTTATTAAATTATTATCTTTTCACATCCAGCTGACACTTTAGAGCCATCAACAGTATCAAGATAGGATAGGATAGCAGAAACACTAACTGGATATTGGTGGAGTAAATTTTAGTCTTGACTGCTAGTAACAAGTTCTGATAAAATTGGCAACTTATTTAATGTCTTTATATCTCACTTTCCTCTCTCGAAATAGTAATGACTTGCTCTTTCATTCTCTAAACTACAAAGTTTTTAGATAATTAATTTACATCAACTCATTTGCCAACCAAAGGCACTGGACCAGATAATGCTACTGATCAATTTCAGTTTTAAAATTCTGTGATCATTTGTGGATTACATCGGTCCACAAATTTGGAATGAACATCATGAAATCCTTATCTAGCTGGAATTGAAGCAATTATGAGAAAATATTTTCAAACTAAATGAACAATTCATACAGATAAAAATCAAAAGTCTTTAAATCCTTTTTTTAAGTTCTATTCTGACATTCCTCATTATCCCTTGATATGACCTTGGCTGTCAGAGGGATTGTCAGTCTCAAAAGCACACTTGTTCTCATAGCAGTTCCAAAAATGATTCAAACATATTCAGATATATTAATAGCTTGATATTGATATTTCAAAAATTGTATTTTTTAAATACAATCTATCTGAGTAGTTTCATTTGTGGAATTTCTCTGAAATGTTTCCGGATGGAGTTTGTTTTCTCTTGTAATATGTTTAAAAATCATGAGAGAAACACATTGCCACATTTCATCATGTTGGAAGAGACTTTATTAATATAAAACATTGTTATTGTTATTGCTTCATCCATACACACA
Organism: Homo sapiens; assembly: GCF_000001405.40. Classification (NCBI taxonomy): domain Eukaryota; kingdom Metazoa; phylum Chordata; class Mammalia; order Primates; family Hominidae; genus Homo; species Homo sapiens. The sequence continues at coordinate 114,966,296 of NC_000004.12, read as the reverse complement.
CACATATGCCATGTGAATATGTATATGCATGTGGGAGTTATGTGTATGTATATGCTTAATCCATGAGCACCAATGTATGCAGTGGGGGTGTACATGTGTGTGGATGTATTATGCTTACTCCATGCACATATATGTCATGTGTATATGTGTGTGTTTGTATACAGGATCTTAGTCTAATGACAAGCATAGTCAACCGAAATATGGCAGTTACAAGATACCCTTCTTAGTATGGCAGTAGGGTGGAGAAAAATACTTTTTGGTTCTTTTTCCTTCAATAACTCATAGATCTTTGCTGCTATTCAGTTGCTTGAGTACGTCAATAAATAGATGCAAAGCTTCAATAACAACAATAGATGAATGAAGGCTAAAGAGAACTAGAAACACTGGCCAACATGAAAGCACTAATAAAAAAAATTACCAAAACTTATTCCCAATTTAACCTACAGCTATTTTCCAGCCATAGAAAGAAAAGTGCATATACCATACACTGAACTGTTTACCTTTATTCCACAATAGACTGGAAAAAAAAGTTTAAAAATTGTATTTTGTTGTTTTAAGTTTTACATATAAACTCATTAAAGTTTTCAAGCCAGTAGGGCTTTTCAGTTCACTAATAGTTGCAGACATGAAATATCCTGAAGGGGTAAGTATCAAGTTTTTGTCCTTAATATTGACATTTTCAATGATGATGTGAATTTTACTTGCTGTGTTATTGAGCAGTCTGGTATCATTTTCATGACTAAGTGAAGATTCTTGAAATAAAGACATAGGATTTTAAATTCTGATTTTAAAAAGCTACACATATTTATGAAATCTATATAACTTTTTTCATAATTACACAATATACATTAAGTAAAAAATGCTGACATTTAAATTGTTCTCATAAAAACACAAATCTATTAAAGAGACACTATGGAAAATCCTTAAGTGTCATAATAGGCTGCACACTCAATCAGCTATGTATGTGTCATATTAAAAAGAAATAAAGTAATATGATAACAAATTAATAGTATAATGAAATGAAACTGAGAGAGAGCTTCCTTTCAATGTTGACAATGCTTTACAGTATTTTTACTGGATTATCCAGTTTACAGCCTTGTATTATGCCACAAATGCAGAAAAAAACTGATAATAACTTATAGGGTATTTAAAGGTAGGGAATTTAGAGAAGAAAAGGATATTTACACTAAAACAAAATTGTGAACAAATATGCAACAAAAATTCACAATGAATAAATAGTGTATTTTGGAGGTTCAATAACAAATAAAAAAATCTTTACACTCAAGAGTGGATCCACATGTGCAGGAAAGATTTAATCACAGTAATAAAAAACCCTGAAGCACCAAGGCATTGAAAAAAGAAGGAAATTCTGTAACACGTGACAACATGGATGAACCTTGTGGGCATTATGCTAAGTGAAATAAGCCAGTCACAGAAAGACAAGTACTGCATAATTCCACTTATATAAGGTATCTAAAACAGTCAAATTGGTAGAATCAAAGAGTGGAATGGTGGTTTTTAGGGACTGAAGGAAATGAGAAAAGACGATTTAATAATCAAGGGGCATTAAGCTTTAGTCAAGACGAATAAGTTCTAGAGATCTGCCATACAACATTGTGTTTACAGCCAATAATAATATTGTGTACTTAAAAATTTGTCAGAAAGGTAGATATCATGTTAATTGTTCTTACCACAATAAAATAAAATAATAAAACATTTTTTGGAAATTGAACAAGATCTTGAGGTATCATATGGAACACCTGCCAATTTAGTACAAATTTCTATGTAAATTACTTCAGTAATTGAGTGCATTAGTTAACATTCAGATATCTTAGATATTGTTTAATAACAAGTTACTTAGACTATAAAGACCTAAAACACACTTTAATTATTTAACAGTTTATGAAGTCAGGAAGTTGAGTATGAAATAACTGGATCCTGCAGTTCAGGATTTCTCACAGATGTCAATCAAGGTGTCAGCTGAGGTGGCAGTCATTTCAAGGCTCAACTGGAGGGTGGACCTGCTGCCAAGCTCACATGGTTATTGGCAAGATTCAGCTCCTCACAAGCTGTTGGATTGAAGACCTCAATTTCCCACCAGCTGCTGCCTGGGTCTGCCCTGTGTTCCTTGCCATGTGGGTCATTCAGGATGGCAGCTCACAACACAGTAATTGGCTTCATTAGAGCTAAGGCTCTGAGAGAGGAAGAGAAAAAGAGACAGATTGATTCAGAGTCTTTTATTATATAAATATCAGAAGCAATACCTCTTCACTTATACCATATACTCTTCAGAAGAAGCCAGTCACTAGGTCTAGCACACGCTCAAAAAGAGGGAACATAAACAATAAAGGGAATATCAGGAGACAGCGATAACTAGTTGGAAGACATTATAGAAGCTGCCTATCACATCTAACTAGAAATAAGAAATACAGAGGATCCTGTGTGATATAACTCACACTTACTATTGCATTAATTTCAAAATATTTGCGTATTAACTAAAACCTAATATTTTTCTTCAAGGTTAATGTCAATTACATCCTTCAAAGCCATAAATATTGAATTCATCTATTACCTTTCTTTCTCTCATCTAATCCGTTGCCTCTAGTTGAAAATGTATTTAGAACTGACTAATTTGACGTCTTACCACTTCTACTATCAATCAACTTAGTGCAAGTTACCATTGTATCATTTTAGCAGCTTTATTGATATTGGTATTAACATATCATAAGGTTCACCCACGTAAAGTGTAAACTTCAATGGTTTTCAGTGTATTCACAGATCTGTGCAAACTAATCATAATTTTAGAACATTTTCATCAACTCATTTTAAAAAAGTACCCTTAGCAATCACTTTCCATTTCTCCCCACTCCCTCAACCTAAGCAAATAACTAATTTACTTTTTGTCTTCACAGATTTGCTTATACTGGACGTGGGATATAAGTAGAATCATACATTACATGGTCTTTTTGACTTGATTTTTTCACTTAGCATAATGTTTTTAAGGTTCAAACACATTGTAACATATATCAGTACTTCATTCCTTTTTATTGACAAATAATGTCTCATTGTATGGCTCTATCATATTTTCTTTACCTATTATATATCCATTCCTTATCAGTTCATAGACATTTGGGTTGTTTTGGGGTTGTTTCCACTTTCTGGCTAGTTTTTATAATGCTGCTATGAGCATTCAGGTGCAAGTTTTTGTGTGGAGATATGTTTTTATTTCTCTTTAGTATCTACCCAGAAGTGGAATTACTGGGTCACTAACTTTATGTTTAACATTTTGATGAATAGCCATGCTGTTTCCAAAGTGTGAGCACCATTTTATATTCTACCAGCAATTCATGAGTGTTCCAATTGCTCTCACCAACCCTTGTTATTATCTACCTTTATTATAGTCATTCTAGTGGGCGTGAAGTGGTTCTTTTCTTTCAAGATGATTTTGACTATTCTGGGTCTTTTGAATTTCCATATGAATTTTAGGATCATCTTATCAATTTCTGCACAATAAACAACTGGGATTTTGACAGTGATAGCAGTCAATCTGCAACTCAATTTGGGAAATACAGCTCTTACCAATATTAAGTCTTCTGATACATGAACATGGGTTGTCTTTTCATTTATTTGGGTCGGCTATAATTTCTTTAAACAATATTTTATAATTTTCAGAGTCTAAATTTTGAACTTCTTTGATCAAATACAATCCTAAGTATTTTAATCTTTTTGATGCTATTATAAACAAAAATCTTTTAAAATTCCAATTTTATATTGTTAATTTTTTGTATAGAAGTACAATTGATATTTGTATATGGCTCTTGTAACATCCAAACCTCCAAATTTGCTGAGCTCATTTATTATTTTTAGAGTTTTTCAGTGGATTCCTTAGGATTGTCTATGTATAAGATTATGTCATGTGCAAATAGAAATACTTTTACTTCTTCATCCTCAATCTGGCTATATTTTATTTTATTTTATTGTCTAATTGTCCTGACTGTAACTTTCAGTACAATGTTGAATAGAAATGGCAAGAACAAATATCCTTGTTTTATGCCTGGTCTTAAGGGGAAAGTATGCAGTCTTTCGCCATTAGGCATGATGTTAGCTGTAGATTTTTCATAGATACCTATTATCAAGTTGAAGAAGTCTCTGTTTCTGTATGTATCTGCATGTATTTTTATCATAGAAGGATGTTGGATTTGTTACATACTTTTTCCTCCTTTATTCTCTTGATATGGTATATTACTCTAATTGATTTTTAGATGTTAAGTTAACCTTGTATTCCTATGATAAATCCCACTTTGTTATTGCATATAATCAGTTTTGTATATTATTGAGTTTGATTGCTAGTGCCTTTTTGGGTATTTTTTAAACTCTATTAATAGAGATACTGGTCTGCACATTTCTTTTTCTTTAGACATCATTGTTTGGCTTTGATGTCAGGGTGATACTAGCCTCATGTAATTAATTGAGAAATATTCTTTGCTCTTCTTTTTTTATGTATAAAGGGAAGAGAAGTCACAAATTACAAGCATTAATTATTTTTTGTATGTTTGGTAGAAGTCACCTGTTCCTTGCTTTTATTTGTGTGAAGTTTTTAATTTACTAAGTCATTCAATTTACTTGTTATAAGTCTATTTATATTTTCTATCTCCATTTGAGTCAATTTCAGTAGTTTGTGTGTGTCTAGACATTTACTAATTTTATCTAAGTTATCAAATATTTGGCATAGAATGTTCATAGTATTACCTCATGGCAGTTATTATTTGTATAAGGTCAATAGTGTTGTCTCCAGTTTCATTATTGATTTTACCAGTTTGTGCCTTTTCCCCCACTTGGTCTATCTAAAGTTTTTCCAATTTAGTTGATCATGTCAAATAACCAAATTTTAATTTTATTGTTTTTCTCTATTGCTTTTCTCTTCTCTATTTCATTAATTTCTGTTCTAATCTTTATTATTTCTTTCCTTCTAATTGCTTTATATTTAATACGCTTTTTTTCAATGTTTTACGGAGAAATAATAGGTTATTGACTTGAAAGCTTTTTTATTTTTAATAAAGGCATTTTACAGCTATGAATTTCCCTCTAAGCACTAATTTTGCTGCTTCCTCTAAGTATTAGTAAGTTGGGTCTTCATTTTTATTCATCTCAAAATATTTCCTAATCTCCCTTGTGATTTATTCCTAGTGGCTGCTTAAGAGTTTCAATATACATTTTAACTTCTCAGAATCTTTTTCAATTTCACAGTGGCTTTTCCAGTGAAGTATAGAAACATTATATTTACATAACTCTATTCCTCCCTCCTTCCTTCTTTATTATTGCACATTACATCCATATATGTGACAAATTCAGCAATACATTGTTATAGTTTATACTTTATATAATTTTATGTTTTTAAAACTTGAAATAAGAAGGCAGAGAAAGTATATATTTATAGGTTTCTACACAAACTTTCTTCTATGACATTTTTCTACTCTTCATTTGTTCTTGTAAATTTAAATACTATTTGGTGTTACTTCCTTACTTCAATATGGCTTTTCTCCCACCTGTCTTTTTTCTGCTGTTATTAAAAATATACTGCATTTACACTTGTTATAGTCATAGCAATGAAATTATATGCATATTATTTTCTATCATTGCTTTTTAAATCTGATGAGAAGAGAAAAGAAATATATATACCGTCTTCCATAAATACGTAATTACCTTTACCAACATTCTTTATTTCTTTCTTTCTTTTATTTTTTTTTTCTGCAACCTCTGCCTCCTGGGTTCAAGCAATTTTCCTGCCTCAGCCTCCTGAGTAGCTGGGATTACAGGCACCTGCCACCACACCCAGCTAATTTTTGTATTTTTAATAGAGACGGGGTTTCACCATGTTGGCCAGGCTGGTCTCAAACTCCTGACCTCATGATCTGCCCGCGTTGGCCTCCCAAAGTGCTGGTAATACAGGCATGAGCCACCACACCCAGCCTTTATTTCTTTATGTTGATTCAAATTACTCTCTGTGGTTATTTGCTTTCAGTCTGAAGAACTACATTTGTAATTTCTTGTAAGAGAGGTTTGGCAATGTATTCTCTCAGTTTTGATATATCTGTGAATGTATTTATTTCACCGCTATTTTTGAAAGATAGCTTTGCTAGATATACAATTACTGATTTACTATTTTCTTTTTTCTTTCCACTTCCTTCTGGATCCCACAGTTTCTATTGAGAAGTGAATAGTTAATTTTGTGTTTCACTTCTATGTGATGAGTTCTTTTGCGACTTTCAAGATTTGCTGATTGCCTTTGTTTTCAAAATTTTTATGATGATATATCTGCATATGGATTTCTTTGTTTATTTTAGTTCTAGTTCACTGAGCTTCTTATATGTGTAAATTAATAATTTTCACCAAATTTGCAAAGTTTTTAGGAAATAATTTTTTGAATACCCTTTGTGTTTCTTTTTCTCCCTTCACTCTTTTGATAATCCCATCTGACATATATTGGTACATTTAATAGTGTCCCACATTTCTTTGAGGCTCTGGTCATTCATTTTTCCTACTTTTTTCCTCTTTATTCTTTAGTTGCATAATCTCATAATCGATTTTCAAGTGTGCTAAATTTTTCTTCTGTTAGCTCAAATTTCTTGTTGAACCCTGATATGGTTTGGCTGTGTCCCTACCCAAATCTTGTCTTGAATTGTAGCTCCCATAATCCCCACGTGTTTTGGGAGGGTCCTGGTGGGAGGTAATTGAATCATGGGGACAAGTTTTTCTTATGCTGTTCTCCAGACAGTGAATAAGTCTCATATGCCCTATTGCCTGCCACCATGTAAGATGTGCCTTTGCTCCTCCTTCACCTTCCATCATGATCATAAGGCTTTCTCAGCCATGTGAAACTGTGAGTCTATTAAACCTCTTTTTCTTTACAAATTACCCCATCTTGGATTTTTTTCATAGCAGTATGAAAATGAGCTAATACAGTAAATTGATACCAGTAGAGTGGAGTACTGCTAGAAGTATACCCAAAATTGTGGATGTGACTTTGGAACTGGATAACAGGCAGAGGTTGGAACAGCTTGGAAGGCTCAGAAGAAGAGATGAAATTGTTGGAAATTTTGAAACTTCCTAGAGACTTGTTGAATGGCTTTGACCAAAATACTGAAAGTGATCTGGAAAATGAAGTCCAGTCTGAAGTGGTCTCAGATGGAAATGAGGAACATGTTACAAACTGTAATAGAGGTGATTTTTGCTATATTTTAGGAAGAGACTGGGGACATTTTGCCCCTGCCCTAGAGATCTGTGGAACATTGAACTTGAGAGAGATGATTTAGGGTCTCTGGTGGAAGAAATTTCTAAGCACCAAAGTGTTCAAGAGGTGACTTTGGTGCTTTTAAAATCATTCAGTTTTATTCATTCACAAAGATATGGTTTGGAATTGGAACTTATATTTAAAAGGGAAGCAGAGCATAAAAGTTTAGAAAATTTACAGCATGACTATGCAGTAGAAAAGAAAAACCCATTTTCTGAACAGAAATTCAAGCTGGGTGCAGAAATTTGCATAAGTAACAAGGAACCAAATGCTAATCACCAAGACAATGGGGAAAACGTCTCCAGTACCTGTCATGGCAGCTCCTCCCATCACAAGTCATGAGGCATAGGAGGGAAAAATGGATTCCTGGACTGGAACCAGGGCCTTGCTGCTTTGTGCAGTCTGGGGACTTAATGCCCTTTGTCACAGCCATTGCTAAAAGGGGCCAATATACTGCTCAAGCCGTTGCTTCAGAGGACGAAAGCCCGAAGCCTTTGCAGCCTACATGTGGTGTTTGATGGAGATGATTGGTCTCAGATGGAGATGTGGAACATGTTACAAACTGTAATAAAGGTGACTCTTGCTACGTTTTAGAAAGAGACTGGGGGTCTCAGATGGAGATGAGGAACATGTTACAAACTGTAATAAAGGTGACTCTTGCTATGTTTTACAAAGAGACTGGTGGCATTTTGCCCCTGCCCTAGAGATCTGTGGAACTTTGAACTTAAGAGAGATGATTTAGGGTCTCTGGTCAGGAATTAAGTTTTGGGAACCTCCACCAAGATTTCAGAGCATGTATGGAAATGCCTGGATGTCCACGCTGAGGTGTGCTGCAGGGGCGGAGCCCTCATGGAGAATCTGCTAGGGCAGTGAGGAAGGGAAATGTGAGGTGGGAGCCCCCACACAGAATCCCCACTGGGGCACTGATTAGTGGAGCTGTGAGAAGAGGGTCACCATCCTCTAGACCCCAGAATGGTAGATCCACCAATGGCTTGCACCGTGCACCTGGAAAAGCCACAGACACTCAAGCCAGCCAGTGAAAGCAGCCAGGAAGGGGGCTCTACCCTGCAAAGCCACAGGGACAGAGCTGCCCAAGACCATGGGAACCCACTTTTTGCATCAGTATGATCTGGATGTGAGACATGGCATCAAAGGAGATCATTTTGGAGCTAAAATTTGATTGCCCTTCTGGATTTTGGACTTTCATGGGCCCATAGTCCCTTTGTTTTGGCCAATTTCTCCCATTTGGAACAGGTGTGTTTACCCAGTATGTGTATCCCCATTGTATCTAAGAAGTAAATAATTTGCTTTTGATTTTACCGTCATAGATGGAAGGGGCTTGCCTTGTCTTAGATGAGACTTTGGACTGTGGACTTTTAAGTTAATGCTGAAAGTAATAAAAACTTTGGGGGACTGTTGAGAAGGCATGTTTAGTTTTGAAATGTGAGGACATGAAATTTGGGAGAGGCCAGGAATGATTTGGTTTGGCTGTGTCACCACCAAAATCTCATTTTCAATAATGCCCACCTGTTATGAGAAGAACCCAGTGGGAGGTAATTGAATAATTGAATCATGGGGTTGGGTCTTTCCCATACTATTCTTTTGATAGTGAATAATCTCATGAGATCTGATGATTTAATAAAGGGGAGATCCCCTACACAATCTCTCTTGCCTGCTACCATGTAAGATGTGACTTTGCTTCTCCTTTGCCTTCTGCCATAGTTGTGAGACCTCCCCAGCCATGTGGAACTGTGAGTCTATTAAAACTCTTTTTCTTTATAAATTACTCAGTCTTGGGTATTTCTTCATAGAAGTATAAAAATGGACAAATACAAGACCTGTAGTAATTTTTATTTCAATAATTGCACTTTTCATCTCTAGAATTTTTATTTGACTCTTTATTAATATTTCTATCTCTATTGATATTCTCATTGGATGAGATATTGTCATCATACCTTTGTCTATGTCTTCAGGCCTAGTTTGCTTTAGTTCTTTGAACAAATTTGAAATCTTTGTCTTCTATGTCTGGCACCTTGGCCCTTTAGAGGCAATTTCAATTGCTCGCTTTATTTTCCTGTGGATGAATTACACCATCCTGTTTCTTTGTATATCTTGTATTTTTTTAATGGACATTTTAGATAATTTTGGCAGCACTCTTCACACTGATCCCTTCCCTCCATGTTAAGGATGTATTTTTGTTGCCATTTAGTTATTTTTTAAATGGAATGGCTGGATAATTTAAGTGACTCTTTCACTTGAAGTGTGCAGCCTCAATGTTACTCCTCATAGGGAACATAGTCACTCTTGGACAATAGTGGTTTTAGCATGGCCTTCTTTGACTGTCTTTCCTGATGTTTTTGTTAAGCTGTCTGCCTCTCGAATAGAGCTTAGTCAGAAGTGAGCCTATACTAATTATCAGCTGTATACTTGATTGCTTTTGACAAAAGGCACTCAGATTATGAGGCTTTTACTGACCCAAAGAGTGTTCCTCTTAGCTACCTGTTTATCTGGTTCTCTCTAGATAGAAAGTTTCTATTTAGTCAATGATTCACTTGTTTTCTATCTTAATTATGATAACAACAGCCTCCTCCTTACTTGCTTACTGTTAAAATCTCTACTGTTTGAGAGTGAGCTTAGGCTGAAAGTTCTTCACACTGTGTCTCAAATAAAGTGTTTCCTTGGGGAGAACATTGCAGATCTCTCTTCTTGAGACCTGCCTCTCTCCCTGAGCAAAACCTCTGTGCCACTGCTCAGAGATAAAGGTAACTACAATTGTCTACTTCTCTCAAAGTAACACCCAGATTCATAGGCGGGGTCCTGGGTTGGGGTAGTAGCCCCTATTACTCTCCGATTTCCTTTCCTGGAATGGAATCAACACTCCACAATTGAGATGAGGCAAGGGAAAATTAAAATTACAGTATTCTTGGCCTTCTGCACTTAGAGTACAGCTTCTTTTCTATGAGTGGGGCTGCATAGTGGAGGAAAACTCCAGGTCTCAAATTTGCTGTTAACTAGAATAGAACTTCTGCATACAGAGATGCGGAGAGGAGAAATGCCGTGGACTGCCATTTCCAAGGAGAAATCATAAGCCTAGACTTGACACTACAGAGAGATGTAGCCCTATGTTCTTGGCTACACTTACCCAAGGTAAGAATTCTGTTACTCTAAACTGGGGCAGGAAGAGAAAGGAGCAGGTCATGGCTCACATGCCATCGACTCTCACTGTTCTTACCATTTGTAGTAGATTTTCTTGAATAAATGGTTTTGCATGGGTTATATCCCCTTGGTTCACTTTCCAGATATTTTTAATGTTTTTAAAATAATTTTCACCTGTTATGGGTGTCTCACTTGGAGATGGTCCACAGAGCTCCTCATACCACCATTGCACAACTCTGCATCCTACTATTCTTTCTTGACTAATTTATGGCAGCAGCATCTTTATTGCTTTTAATTTCCACTCTTGGCCTTTTGAGTCCATTCTCAGCAAAGCAGCTACAGTGATCCTCTTAACATGTAATTTAGATTCTGTCACATTTTGTCTCAAAGCCCTCTAAGCTAACTTAAGATAGCCCACAAGCCCCTAGCAACTGGCCCCTTGTTTCACATGCTGTAAGCTCCCCTCTGGCTTTTTTAATGATTGGTACTTGGATGTTTTCAGTGTGCCTCCGTTCCTGTAGTTGCTACTTACTCATTGATGACTACAGTCAATCCGCACTGTTGCCATTCTTGTGTCATGGTCTTTCTCCTGGTTTGGTGACTCTCACCTTGACCCCAAGGTTCCCCTGAGCTTCCTACAAATTGATGCTGAGCTGCCTCCATCAAGGCTGTACAGTTCTTGAATTTGGAAGTGTTTCCCTTCCTACCATTTTTCATACATGTAGTATGAAAATAATATATGTATTAGTCTGTTCTCCCACTGCTAGAAATACTTGAGACTGGGGAATTTATAAAGAAAAGAGGTTCAATTGGCTTATGGTTCTGCAGGCTTTATAAGAAGCATAGCAGCTTCTGCTTCTGGAGAGGTCCCAGGAAGCTTCTAACCTTGGTAGAAGGCAAAGCTGGTAGTGAGATGTCTTCACATGGTGGGAGCAGTAGCAAGGATGTGGGAGGGGCTACACATGTTCGAACAACCAGATTTGCAGAGAATTCACTCACTATTGCAAGGACAGTGCCAAGAAGGTTAGTGTTAAGCCATTCATGAGAATTGTGATCTCATTATCCAATCACCTCCTACCAGGCTTCATCTCCAACGCTGGAGATTACAATTCAACATGCAATTTGGTGAGAACACAGATCCAAATGATATCACCATATATACACTTTTAAGAACAAATTATAAAAGCCAGGAAAAAAGAATGTTTTAGTAACATTATCTTGTGTCAATTCAAAATTTAACTTTTCCGTATCAAAAAGTTGTTTGGAGAGAGTATAGCTTTTATCTGTTTTTCACAAAATAAGTAAGTTACTTATCTTCTAGTCTTATCTTCCATTTCCTCTTTTCCTTGCTTCCAAAGGATGAGATCATTTTTATTTTATCTCATTTCTCTAATATACCTCAATCCGTTTAATTCATTTTGCTAATACTATGTGCCAAAGTTGCCATCCTGCTTTTACATTTAAGCCTCATGATAGATATGCATCTAGGATTACTAATAATTTCTCCTTCAATGCTAGAATTTCTAGACTGGGCATTCAAATTAAATTTAATTTAAATTAAATCCATCGTGATTTTAGAATTTTTTAAAAGAATCTATTATATCTGGAATTTTTTGAAACAGTATTTTTAAGTCATAAAACAGGATAGGCAAAAAAATTAAGTTTAAAAAAACCAAATAATAACATAAAATATTACTAGCATTTCCCTGGAAGACAGAGCAGTGAAAATTTGCTAAATGTTTAGAAAATGGAGTATGTGAATGATCTTGAATATAGTTAATTCTCTTTATTGGAAATTTGTGATCAGTAAAATAGTCTTAGGGTGGAAGAAAATAAAATCACAGTGGGAAAAATTACAGAGCATCAGCTAGTAAGCTTGAAGCTCATTTATATGAGTGGCTAAATAATTTTGTTACTGCATATAGAACACTTATTTATGGATGGCATTTTATAGCAGTTTAAAAGTATTCTTTTATATCCATGTAGTTAATAGAAATATCTGTTCATCATTATGTCTGTTAATTAGTTTTGCTGTTGATATTAAGTATGCATACATTTCTTATATTATTCAGTATAGAATATTATATTACAATGAATGAGTTAGCCATTTCTCACTTGAAAAGTTCAGCATTTGAGTTATTTATTGTTTTATTCATTTCAGTGAACAACTTCCTAAAACACATAACTTACTGCTTTTAAGTTAATAAATGCATGCCAGGCATCACATCGCATTCACATAGACTAAGTTTTTATCATTCACAAAGACTAAGTTTTCATTGTTAATATGAATGATTTCACTGCACTGTGCTCCTGATGTGTTCTTGGAATCTGCTGATATTATAAGGACTATTTGCTCCTAAACTATGTTCCTAGAGTTTTTGAGCTCTTGTGTCTACTGTTTCTACTTCCTCAGTCTCCTGGTCCAAGTTTGTAAGATTGATAACTTTCTCTTGCAGCCATTGTCATGTTATTTGATTCTAGTAGCCAGATTCTCATTTCAGTAAAAACAAAGTGATCAAACTAGATGACCATCAAAGCTCCTGATACTTCTAAAATTATATAAATCTAAGTTGTTCTCAGTTTCGAAATCAAATGGAGAAAGGTTCTTAGGCTTATTTCTAAAGTGATATTGAAAGGTCTCAATTTTACAAATGAGAAAACCGAGCCCTAGAATTTGTTTATGTGACTTGTGCATAGTCACACAAAGAACTCACAAGCTGCCATGTGTTTCCAGTTGTACCACCACGCAGCACTGCAAAGTAAGAGCTGATGGTCTCTGGGAGAAATGGACAAGGCCTTCCCACAAAAAAAAAAAAAGAAAAAAAAAAAGAAAAAAAATGAGCCAACTTGTGTGCCCGGTTTTCTTAAAGCCTTTTTTGGTCACAGCACAGGTAATTAAAGTAACATATGAATGAATGACATTTGAATAGATGAGTAATTGTTGAAAAACTTACTCACCTTTAGGTATTGAGATCTTATTGCATAAAGCTTAGATTAGCATGGAAAATTGAGGTGTGTAAATGGCATAATGATTCACATATTGAATAACAAGAAAACATATTTTCTATTTCTCTTTCTTTAGGTACCCATTGGCAATAGATAAGGTTTTTACCCATTTTACAAGTAGGATATTGTTTTAAAAATTTCTTAACTGGCTTATTCTAGCAGTCTCCAAGGTTCTCGTCAATTCCTATTTTCACCAAACTTACAACATAAAGGATAGCATGAACTTTTTGCTTGCAAATTAGAATTGGTATTTCATTAGCTATTAATATTCATACTTCTCAGCAATGGATTTAGAGAAAAATGGCTTTTCTTGTCATGTGTTATATCATGGTAAGTCCTTGACTTGCTGGTCTGGTATTGGCAGGTAGATGAAAGAATTTTCCTTAGACAGAAAATCTCTACAATACATATTTATCTATTTGATTTTCCTAGCAGATGGCAATAGCAGACCCTCCCACCCACCAAATAGCTTTTTTCACTGCAGCATCTTTTTCTTGTCAAGCAGCTGTTTTGTTTCTGAACACATTTAACCTCAAAGACATAAATGCCCCCTACAAAATACACTTCAGTATCAAGCAGCAATAATTGAAAAATGAGCTATTTATATCACTCAAAATTCATTAATATTAATCTATCAAGATTTACATCTGTCTTTTCTGGATACCTTGTTATTATTATTTTTGGTAAGTGTAAAGCCTTAAAAATCATTCTTTCTGCTTTACTTGATCATTCTGTAGTCTTATGCTTTTAAATGATTTTCTGAGATTAACTATAAGAACTCCAATTCTTTTCAAATACCTATACATGAAAATTATAACATAGGTTTCCCCCCAGGGGATAGGCTGATAACTAGTTAATGTACTTGGGGATACTTAATTTACTTGCTTTAAAGCAAATTAGTATTTTCTACAACTATTATTTCACTTATTCAGAACAATGGTCTGTGCACAAAATACAAAAGAAGTCATATTTTTCAGAAGAAAACAAAATTTTAGCTACTTTTATACATAAAGGCTCCTCCCTGTGTGATATGAGTTCACATTACATGAGTCCTTACCTAGTTGCTCAGTGTAGAAGTCAAACCCTTGTATTTGGCTTTGGACCAATCTTGGATCAAATTCTGTCTTTGACGATTATTATATGGATGACCTTGGCAAATTACTTAAAATTCCTGTGCTATAATTTTCAAATATGTAAAATAAATATGCCAGTAGTTCCTACCCCAAAGGTTTTTATGAGGATTGGATATTGTGTGTACATGTTTATGTATACATAATTCTTAGCAGAGTAATTGGCACATAAGTGTTTCAAAAGTATTTGTCATCATTATCATTATGGTTATCATCAGTTTTACCATATTTCTTCAAGAAGCATGCTATCATTACTTTTGAAATAAGAGGTTGATGATGCATGAAATAGCCAAATAACTTTTTCAAGGTTATGTAATATTCAAGTTGGAAACAGAAACAAGACATTCTAATTTGCTTTGCAATTCTCCATCTATCCATAACCCCATACTGAAAGTGGTCACAAGTATTTAATAATGAAAAAACTAATATTTTAACAAACATTCCAAGAAAAAAGAACATGGATGATAAAAATTGTATTTTAAAAAGTGAAAAAATTAATTAAAGTGTTCATTCATGTGCATGTGAACACGTGAATCTTTGAAATTATTGTTTTCCAATTATGTCCAAAAATTTACACTTTCAGTGTGAAAACTACATCCCTCCTTTCATTTGTCAGTCCTTTATTTTTTGCTTGTTTCTTCCTTTCAACCTTATTCCCTCCTTCTCCCCTTCTTTTCTTTCCTGACTTCCTTTCTTCCTTTCCTCAACAGACGATGAATATGCATTATCTGCTGAGCAACTTACTTGACACCAGGGATGCAAAAATGATCGAGACGCTGAGATTTTACTTACTTAGTTGATAGGAGAGGGGAGAATGCATGAAGAATAATAGTGACATTTTAGGTTTTTGAGAGAAATGTACAGAACACGGTGCAGCCACAAAAGAGACACTTGTTTGTTATAAGGGTAAGAAAAAAAAATGAACAACTGAGTTGATAACATTTGTGAAAAATAAGTAGGTGGGAATGAGGCAGAAAGCAGGAGGAGAACCCCTAAACAGAGGGAGCAGTAGCAGAAAGAGCACAAGACTATGCCCAATTACTGTACTCTTCCAGTAAAATCCACATAGGTTTAGCAACAACCTGTCTATGGATTGGGAAGTACTGCCTGTGGGATTTAGCCTGCAGTCTGTTAGTGTGTGGTTGGTATGTTAACAGTAAGTTTTACATTTTTACAGAGTTGTAACTACCAAATAAAGAAAGGAAATATGTGACAGAGGCAGTATGTTGCTGGCAACATTTTACCAAACCTTAACTTCCACATGGTTCTGAAGATAGTATAAAAATTGGAATCATAATGATGAACAGTAGTTCATGAATTCTTAGCTAATGCACATTTTTCATCAGTTACTATAGGTGACCTACTATACCCTTAGAAATATGAAATTTATGGACAATAAAATTTTATTTCCAATATTCCTGCCTTAATGAACCTCGGAAAAGTGGATAAAATGTTGAAGAAAGAAATAATAAATCGATTTGGCTCCAGAGGAAGCTTTGTGTTGGGAATTAGGAGAAGATGGAATCAAGTAGCTCATGTGGTCCAGAATATGGAGGAACTTTTTATCCTAGGTGTTAGAGCTTCAGGTACCCTAAATCCAACTGTATAAATGACCTTTGCTTAGAGCTCTACATTTGAAATAACAATTTTCCAGTTTCTCATCTCACCTCCCCGTGTTCCTAATTAATATATCATAATTTATTGCTCTCCTATAATCTTCTAAATCAGTATTCTTACATGTACTTTGTACATAGGAAGTAGACTGCTTAGTAACAGGGAATTTACATCCTTATTTTTACTTTCTCGTTTCAGGCTACAGATGTCTTAAATCCTGGGACGTCACTTCTAAATGTATACTCAATGCCAATGTTTACTTTCTTGCTTACTCAATAAAGCCAAAGTTTGCTTGTGGAGCCAAACTGTCCAGTTAAAAGAATAAATTTCTCAGCTTTTATTTTAGGTAGTGGGCATTGAACATTGTTCTGGCCAATCAGATGAAAGCACAACTTATAGTATGGGGCTTCCAGGAAAGCTTCATAAAAGGAGGCTAGATATTGCTGGGGCTCTGCCCTTCTGCCCTTAGCTTTTATTTCTTTCTCTAACCTGCTGTATGGTCCCATTGGCTGGAACTAAAGTATCCATCATAAAACTATGGAGCAAATGCCAAGAGAATCTGAGGCCTCACTTTTGGCAATCTTAAACTGCTGAACCAATACTAGCAACCACTACTCTACAGGTTCCCCATTACACGAGAGAAAAAAATAAAAATAAAATTCCTATGTTTTTCAGTTTACTGTTTTTGGGGTTGTTCCTTTTTTGGTACAAAGGCTGGACCCATTCCCTATCCGACATCATGCTCTAATGCTTTCCCTTAGAGTTTTTCTCTTAAATTATTTTGAGATTTGCTTATATTCAAGTTGTTCCCATTGTCTAGAATTTGCAGACCCTCAAAGGAATATTTATATAGAATAATATCCTAAAATTTAATATTTTAATACTTTCTAAAAAAATTGATAGAGTTATTAATCAATTATTAGATAACAGTTTTGTGACTGGATTCTTGAAGTGGTCAATAATAGCATAATTAGCTCTCACAAAATTTAGTTTCACTGTTTCAGTGATCACCCTTGTTTCTAATTATTAAATGACTGTGAAATAATTAAAAGCCAAAGTTTTCAATGATTTTTAAAGCATTATTACTTCCCTCTTTTGTTTTATTATTATTATTTAACTGCTCTACTAAATATGACTATTTAAATTGGATAATCCCTCCAAACTATTAGTTAAAACAACTCTTTCTCTGCCTCTTTTCTTTTCTCTTTTGCATTTTTGAGTTTGAAAAATTATTTTAGTATGATGGTGTCCTTTATACTTTATCTATAGTAGCTGAACATCTTCAGCATTCCATGATTTTTTAAAGTAGTTGACACTTTAGTTCTCTGCAGTCTTTTCTGCAGTAACTTGAGCAATATTCAAATATAAGAAATTGTTTCCAAATATGTTTACACTGGAGAGAATTAAAGCTGGTTAATAACACAGGATAATTGGGGTGTTTACTGTAAACTTGTTTGGGGATGAGAACTGTATTGATGACCTTATTTCCAAATATGATATCACTTCAACAGGATAACAAAATGAAAATATAATAATTCATATGATTTTAGTTTGAAATGTGTGAACATGTCTACAGAAAAATATAATTATTTAATAATCTATATGGCCAGTTACTCAAGTAAATGAAATCATTCATTTAATTCTTTGAGTATATAGGTACCATTTATTAATAGGAACCTACTTTTGGTCTGATGAAATTTAACCTGCTTTGCCTGGTAGTAAAGGTTCCACAAAATTGCAAACAATCATTATTTTAAGTAAGAGAAGGCACAGGATGTCATAAAAGGACAAAATGTAATAACACGTTGTATTTGGGGGGTGGGGGAGGGAAGTGACATTCAGAGGGATGGCTCATGCATATACCAAATGTTTAAAACATTTTTCCATAAATGTGTTAAGCTGACATTAAGTTGGGAAAATGCCTCGTAAGGGAAATCTCAGCTTGAATCAAAAATAATATTTAAAAAAATCCATTGCTAAGAGAAAGTAGTAGTTTATGCTAATCTACTCTTTCTGCAAAGTGATGTCTTTGAATTAATGATTCTAACCCATCAGCTGCTATATATAATTGTAGAAGGATCCAAAAAGTTTGGAAATATGTTCATAATCATAAAATGAAGCACACGGTAGACAGCTTCGAAAAGGACATTTAGCCCTCTTCCACTTGTCTTCTTCACATACACAGGCATCCCCGGCTATCCCATTGAAATCAATGCTTCACTCCATGAAAATATGCAATCAGATCGAAGATTTTTTAAAGCCTAATATTTTA
This sequence comes from Homo sapiens, assembly GCF_000001405.40. Lineage (NCBI taxonomy): Eukaryota > Metazoa > Chordata > Mammalia > Primates > Hominidae > Homo > Homo sapiens. Next base: position 114,947,827 of record NC_000004.12, on the reverse strand, counting down.
TTTGTGTGCTGCACATAAATATTTGAGGTACTAAGAATGAAGAGAAATATGCCAAGATATTTACATGTAGTCGTTACTTAAGACAAAATTATAGAAAATCATAATGTGAAAATTGTATGATTTGAATTAAGCAAAATTATTTTAAGTACCTTCTTTTTCCACATTTCTGCCTACAGTACTATAGAAATGATGTAATAATGGGCTGGATAATACCATTCTTATTTCCACCTGACTTAACACGTTGAAGAATTTTGAATGTTATCATTTAGTCCAGGTTAAAGGCACTAGTAGAAACTTAATACTTAATACCTGTAACTTTTCTCTTGCTTCTAAATTAAATATAAAAACATCTCTCTATGTAACACAGTCCTGCAATTAAGGGAGTAGTGCTAAAATGCAGTTCTGCATTTCTCAGGATATCATGCTACCACATCTTTGTTGTCCCTCACTCTTCTTGGGCGCTTGCTTTCCTCCTTATTCAACCTCTTGCAAGAGCCAATCATAGTAAGCATTCATTCCCTTGTATATGCTCTGAATTTCTTTACACTTTTCTTTTTATCATACTTCCCTATAGAGCCTCAACCCTGGTTAAATCCAAATTGACACCAAGTTTATGCCTATACTACTGAAACTAAATTTGTCTTGGACCAGTGTTTAATTGTTCTCACTTTAATACCTGGCCATAGACCCCAAGGGGACCTTCTATGCTGCCCAGACATTACAAGTCTTTATTTCATTCATAATCCTACTCTTCTATACCTTTTCCTCTCTCTTCAAACTACCGCACAAATTATCTCATCCCTACTCTCAGCTGATAATCTTGTTTCTTATTTCAATGAAAAAAAATCGACCAACAAAAAAAAAACCTTTCACATACTTCTGTTATTACAACTTCCACTTCAATACAATGGTAACAAAATAAAAATAAAATAGTAGCCACGATTTTAATTTTAAGCATGTGAAAATATCTACAGAAAAAAAAGTAATCATCATAACAATGTTTTTATGTAAAAACCTAAAAGATCTGTACCCATTCCTTCTCTTCAGTGTTGCCGCATTGCACAGCCTCTGGAAAAGCATGGTAAATGTGAACGGTGCCCCCTGGAGTTGTTCAGTGAAAAATTTTCAAAGCTATTTGCAGCAACTCTGCCTCTTGACATCATCTCTTGCTAATCTCCCCCTTTGTTAACTCTGCTGCAAAAACAATAGAATTCTTGCTATTCTTCAGAAATGACCAGGCTTCATCTGTGCTGTCTCCTCTGCCTGGAATAATCTTTCTCAAATAGTCTGTATAGCTCAATCCGTCACAACTTTTTACCTTAACTCAAACTACTACCTTCTCCATTAAACCATGGCTGAGTGATCTATTTAATTTTGCAACCCGTACCCCTTGATTCCACTCTATATTTCTGCTTTATTTTTCTCCATATTTCTAATCACCTTCTAATATATTACACAATTTACTTACTTCTTTTGTATGACCTTGGACTCACTCTGCTAAAATGTAAGCTCCCTGAAGGCAGGCATTTTTTTTTCTGTTTTCTTCACTGCTGTATCCTCACCATGAATAAAATGAATTAATAAGCCATGTGTTGGACATGTTGATTGTCAATAAAGTAAGACTTCAGAACCAAAATTTAGCAAAGCACGTGCCAAATCAACAGAAATGGCACATTTTATACAATGTGAATGAAAACTTGCTGGTTTTTCCATTAGTCCCCTTTAAGCAGCAAAGTAGACCTTCAGCAGGGTCAAGAATATTAAAAGGATGTGTCTCAATTGCCCAAAATAGCTCTACTTAGGATCGGAAAGTTCAAGACTGTAGAGGTAATGCCATTTCTGTTCTATTTCTTTTGTCAAAAGAAAAATCCATTTGTAACACAGAGCCCTCCAGAGATTTGTCACCATTTGCTAGGCTTCAGTCCAAAAAGTGTCAAGACTCACCCAGCCAATTTCCAGGGTCACATAGTCATTACTTTTATCACTTATGAAAACAGAAGAAGACAATTTCAGTCCCCTAAACACAGTGGAAAATCAATGATTCTAGGATCATTTTCAAAGTTGACAATATGAATCCAAGTCCTTACTAAAAGGAGAAATAGATAATGAGATCTATTCTCTGTAGCGCCAGTGTCACTCCCTAGAAGTTGTGCATTTAGGAGAAGAAACCAGCACTTTAAGTTCAACAAGGTACTGCTTAATGCATTATCTCTTTACAACAAGTGCATTACTTTATGCAGTCATTATTTTATTGTTTTCTCTTCACACTAATTTATTAAACACCTATGATGTGTTTCTTTAATATGTTTATTTCCTTTAAAATTATTTATCAAATACCAACAATGTACCAAGCACTCTGCTAAGGACTGGGGATATATTATCTCAAATATATTGTGGGCTGGTTTTACAAGCCATAGTTCCTGGAGTGCAAACATAGGGTCATAAAAATAGAGAAAATACCATTTGCTGGTTCTTACCCCTCTTTATATTGACACCTTCATCCACTTTTCAAGTTTCTGCCCAGCGATTTGTGTAAAATCCTGGCAATGACTCCTGTATGTTTATGAGCCAAATCCTCTGCACCTCCATTTGTCTTTTTTTTTTTTTTTTTTTTTTTTTGAGACGGAGTTTCATTCTAGTTGTCCAGGCTAGAGAGCAATGGCATGATCTCGGCTCACCACAACCCGGCCTCTCAGGTTCAAGTGATTCTCCTGCTTCAGCCTACCAAGTAGCTGGGATTACAGGCATGTGCCACCACAGCCAGCTAATTTTGTATTTTTAGTAGAGACAGGGTTTCTCCATGTCGGTTAGGCTGGTCTCGAACTCCCGACCTCACATGATCCGCCTGCCTCGGCCTCCCAAAGTGCAGGGATTACAGGCATGGGCCACCACAGGCTGTCCTCTTTTATTCTCTGGCTCTCTGTGGTGTGGCGCGTCTCCTGAAAAGTAGCTGTCAGTGCCTGACCAAAAATGCAGCACCGGGGTGGTGTTTGTGCTCACCTATCGTTTCTTCTACCCCCGCATGTGAAGCTTTCGGATATGTTTGCCCATTTTTTTAAAGATGTGGTTATCTTCACAAAGGAGCACTGCAATGCATGCTGGCACCAAGGTGCTGTGATAATCAAAATCAGTCCATTGGAGCAGTGTTCTTTCAAGAAAATCTGTCCCCTTTTGTGAGGTTACCTACATTGTATGGTTTCACCATAGTGTTAATCTGTGTTCCTAGGATCTAAGACAGATTTCATAGTAACTATTTGCAACACATCAGATGCCAGAAGATTAGAGGTGATAATGACAATTGCAGAGGATTTATTAAGAAGACTATTTACAAAGGAATAAGTAGGGTATAGAGTATTATCCTAGGACTAAACACAGTGCAGATGGTGAGCTGTGAAATCCCAAAGTTTGAAGGGGAAGAGGCGAAAAAAGATCATCAGAGTTGAGATGGAGAGAGTTATATGTGATGTGGGGTTGGGGACACTTTGACAGTTGTTTTAACCTTTGATTGAAGGAGTCTGACAACTTTAGATGGCATTGCATAAGAAGAGCTAATAGAATAAATATCCACTTCACTCTTTCTTCTCTCTGATCTCCTACCAGGATTCTCCATTTGCCAGACTCAACTGGAAGCAAGAAAGCAAGAGAACCCCTTGAAACAGTTCACACACTCTGGCCCCTAAATTATAGAGCAGGGTGGAAAGAGGTGGCAGTGGTAATGGACAGGCCACTTTTATTCCAGATTTTAGCTCTGCTCCACCTCTGTGGGACCTAGGAAAGTATTTGGCTGTTGGTCTAAATCTCCTCTCTGCTTCAATCCTTAGTCATTATACTTGACTCAAGCTTGTGGTCCTTGTGCTTGCATTTCCCAAAGTTGATGTTTTTCCAAAATGATCTATGTACCTTTTCTCAACAAATTAACACTTAAATAGAGTTTATGACTTCATAGCCACTATTTCAAGCAGAGGAATTCTTAACTCATCTATTCCCCCCAACTATTTAGTCCCCTAATATTATTAAACTAATTTTATAAATGAGAAATTTGAGGCACAGAAAAATAAGTCTCTCTCAAGGTCATACAACTAATACTTGGCAAAGCCAAAATTCAAATCCAGCCAACCAGTCTCCAGATTCCAAGCTCTAGTATACTGTTTGGAATAACAAATATTTTTATTATGTACTTAAAATATTATATATAATTATGTGAAAACGGAAATAATCTCTCTACACGAAGAGATTAAGTTCTATTGGCAGAGATACTCAAATGTAATAAAGAAAGTTTTAATGTAGAGATATTCATGTAAGACTATAAGGCCCCAAACGTACCTAACCAATCTCAGTCTAGGGTGGGAGAAAAGAATCAGAGAGTGTACCCAAGAGGAAATCATTACTGATATTTGGAGGGCAAAGTTTGGTAGTTTGTACTTTAACCTGAACACAGCAAGGAACCATTGGATGAGTTAATGCTGGTGAATTACATAATTAAGTTATTACTTTTAAAATAACATTCTGATGGTAAAAGTGCAGATATGAATTATAGTGTAAATATACTATTTAAAAATTATTTGTATATGTCAATGTATATTTAGGTATATGAATGAATACCTATTTGTCCTGTTTTTAAGATTTAAGCTTATTATTAAACATTCAAACTTTTTATGTGAATTTTATGGGAAATACATGGGATCTAATAATGTTATCTTTTTAAGCTTATCCTTATCATATACATATATAATATAATTTAAATTATATTATATAATATATAAATTAATATATGTATATATCATATAATATAATTTAAATTATATTATATAATATATGTAAATATTATATATCAGTATATATAAATTCTACTCATCTAAAAATAAAACAAACTGATATAAACAAATTGATTCAAGAATTCAAGATACTAATTTTTTTCATAATAACCATTGATCAGGAGTACTTTATTCCTTTCAGTATTTTATGAGATTATGACCTTGTTTGGAATATTTTTGATTCTGAAGTTTACACTTATTAACTGTTATTTAAAATCCATTAGAAAAATCATTCTTGGAAGCATCAATACTAAGTTCCATTTGATTATTTTGGGTGTGGGAAACATTTACCAACATAAAGTCAGTGGGTCAAAAATTGCTTGTGCAGCCACATCACTAGAAAAATCACTGTAACACAAGCAGTAATTATCCATATTCCATTCTTATCAAAAGCTTCCTAGACACAATTTATTATATTGAATTGCATTTACCCAATTACTAATAATAGCCTGAGGAAGATTAAAATTGTAGTCCCCTAGATATAAATTTCTTATTTTAATTTCAATCTCTACTAAGGAAATGTTAGTAGGATGAAGATTTCAGCCTCTATAGATGTTCGTGTCAAGGATATCATTCTTTTCTGCTAGGAAAATGCCTAAAAGTTAAAATTAATAATATATTTTTTAAAAAATTAAATAATCTTAGGTTAAAATTCACCAAAAATTAAGACACTTCTATCTGATTTCCACAATTGTCTCCAGGTTTCAAACTTCATGAAGGTAGAAGCCCTATCTTATACCCAGGGCATCCCCAGTACTTAGCAAAGTGCTTAACGTAAGTCATGAACTGAAAAACAATTATTTCAAGTGTAGTTTAACTTAATTGTTTTGATGTGCATTTGGTATTTTTCATTTAAATGACTGTAGTCTCCTATTTATTTTCTATACAGTATTCACTGGCTACTCAGTGCATGACATTTAACAGTCACATACATTACATGATAGTATCCAGCTAGAAAAATACATATTTACTATGTTAATCAGCTTTATTGGATAAGTATTGAGCAGTGTTTTACCAAATTTTTCCTCTGTTTTCTTAGAACTTAAACCACTAGACGTCTCAACAGAAGTTCTTAAATCTTTTTATACTTATTAGAAATGGGCAAAAATCAGCTCTAGCAGTCAGGTTTCCAAGCTAGAAACATAAGCCACTTTAAGTTATTTTAAACAAGAAGACTTTATTTAATGATTTCAGTGCTTCCAAAATCTTTGGAAGGACTCATGGAGCAGATTGTACGCTGTACTCCTGCAGGGACTCTCAGAACCATATAGAACTGGCTCCCTGGGGGAGCTGCCATTTCTGAGGCTGCCACAGGATCTCCGTTAAAAACAAAAAGCCTCTGCTGCTGCCCTGCAAATGGGCACCAAACACTGCTAGAAAAAAACTTGCTTATTTGCAAGAACTTACAGCCAGCAACAGGAGCCAGGAGCTGCCAAAATTTAGGATTTGCCTTCCTACTGCCTTCTGAAATTGGTCTTGAGTACTCCTAAAAGGCTGAAACTCATTTTCATAAAAAAAATGATAGCTGCAGAGGAGTTTGAGAAATGTAGACTTTGTTTTATAACCTCTCCAAGAACAAAAAAAAAGTGAACAGGAGATCCAGTTCAGAAACATGCATATTAAAATCAAACCCCTTTTGTAAGTCAAGTGTCTTCATACTTTGGGGAGGGGAGGGGAGGGGTCACAGTAGAAGCAACTTAGTGAAAAAGTAAGAGCAAAGATGATGAATCTAGACAACTTGGGTAGAAGTATAGCTCAGACACTTGTGAATGAATATAAGCAAGTTACATGCCTTCTCTGAGCCTCTGTTTCCACATTTTAGAGCAGCATCCAGTCCTCCTCACAGAATGATTATGAGAATCATATTACACGTAAATGTAAAAATACTTCATAAATATTGATGCAGACATGAGGCAGGAAAATACTAGGTAGAAGAGGGAGGTTCCCAACAGGGGCCACACCCTCAAGCCTGGGACTGCGGCCCAAAGTGAGAACATGCATTCTTGTTTTCCCACTTGAATGTTGCTTTTTGGCCTGCCCCACACCCCATCCTGTACCCATAAAAACCCCAGGCTCCACCACTGGCAGAGGGGCAGCAGAGCAGGAGAGCAACTGAGCAGCAGAGCAGAGCAGCAGAGGAGAGAAGAGAAAAAGCAGCTGGATGCCAGAGGGTAGCAGCTTGACTTCAGAGGGCCAGCTTGACAGCAGGACTTTGGAGAAGTGTTCGACCATGGACAAACTCAATAAACCCGCCCCACATTCACCACCCTTCAATTCCTTCATAGGACCTGACTCTTCCTCAGCACTGGACAAGAACTTGGGTACCAAGAGGGCGGGTGCAAAAGGCTGTCACCTGACCTTCCACCGAGCTGTTAAACAAGCCATCCATGGACGGCAAAGCTAAAAGAGCACAGTGCAACTACTCCTGCCGGTGCCCAGAAGCACTCATGCTGGCCCCTGCACCTGCTCACTCACCTACATGCTCCCCGTCCTGTTAGGGATTGAAAGCTGTGGGCTGAGTAAATTAGCAAACCCAAGGGAACCATCCCATTTCAACTAAGCAATTAAAAGAAGATATGATCAGTAGGAATTATCAAGGGAAAATTAAATGACATTATTTCAGTTGCTGTTAGAGCTTTAGTGCTAAATACATTTTATTTTATTCTAATTTTTGAAAAATGGTGATCTTTTTCATATAGTCTGTAAATTACTGCAATATCTTATTTCGCAACTAACTGGGATTTAATGGACTGGAAACATTAGATCAAGTCAAACCCCTCTGAATATTTGTGGTATCATGTCTTATTGTAGTATAGACTCCATAGATCCTGTAAGAGACATTATTCTAATAAATAATTAAAGCCATATTTGAATTTATTTGTTTTCTGTCATTTACGTGTCTATATTTATAGAGTCTCAAGTGCTTCCTATATTTACATTGGAAGGCTTTTCAAATTTTGTAATTTTTGTGATCTTCTGGAAATATGATGCTTGGTTGATTTTCTAGTTGGCCAAGTCTCTGCGAAGTAGGTTTTAAGCCCTGGACAATAGAAAATAGAAGCTTCTCGGTCTGTAAGCGCCATGATAATAGCAAAAGAGTTGCTAGGGAATTACTTCCCACTTTGTGTTGTCATTTAGATTGAAAAAGCATAAACTCATAATTATATAGTGTGATATACTATTTTAATTGAGCTCCAGTTGCCAGTGTGATAAGATGACCTTATGAACAGTATAACACTGGGCCCCCAGAAATCAATAAATATAGTAACTTTTTTTTACTGCCCTTCCTTCCTACTCACCGAATCAATTGCTTTTTACCTTTTTTTTTTGAAAGTTCTACAATTCATTTTACTACCTGTCAAAAGTGAAATGTCTCTTTTTTTTTCCTGAGGAGATATAGTTGTTTGATATTTCAATACTTTTTGCTGATTTTATTTTTCATTGCTTTGTATCTAGGACACTCACATACTTCATCTAACCTTCTAGGCCCCAAATTTAGAGTCAAATTTATACAGTTATAGAGAATGAGGACTAACAAAGTGATTAGTTAAGACTATTAGGATTTGTACACTGTTGATTTTGTCACTTTTCACATTGTGGGACAAGCCTTATAAAACCTCAGTATGAATCACTTGAGAGAGTAAAAAGGAGGATAACAGGTTGATTCCCTTTTCCTGTACATCAGGAGCACCTCTCTAGGCACATTCATACAAATTCTATTTACCAGACAGAGGAGTCTGGACACGCTTGTCTCTAGATTTTTCTCATGAAGTAATGAGAAAAATCTGTCTCACACCCAATGCATCCACAAGCTTGCAATGTCTTGGATGCTGGAGGATTGCTTATCCTCAAAACACTTTGTGACCACTCATTGGCGAGCATGGAAGAAACCTGAGAGAACTAAGGCTGTCCCAGTACATGTTCCCTAGTGATATCAGGGTAACAACTGTTGCCTGTCCTCTCTGGTAGTTTCCAAGTACTTTTATTACTGGACTTTTCCAGCTTTGCCTTGTGTTGGAAACACAAGTGCTAGGAAGAAGTATTTTTCTTCTGCACAGATCAAGAAATGAAATTCTCCCCAGTGTCTAGCAAAAGACTCTAGCTCATTTTACAGCATTGATTTCATAATTCAGTCTTCTACAGAGTCATTTACTGTAACAGATGTTAGGAAACACCCATAGTCTTGGAGAAAGAGAGGTGACTTTGGCTATACAATGAGGGTCATTACATGAAAGGCAGAATGATGGAGACTTGTGAAAAATTTAGGGTTCATCTTCTGAACTGAGTGTAGCGTATGACTAAGGCATTGTAGATATGTGATCCATTCACTACTTGCTTATTAGACGAGACTGAATTCTTTTCCTATGCTGTGTACCATATAATGGAAAATATAAATGGCAATTGTCAAGTCAACACTTTTGTGTTCTGTTTATTGATTCAATCAGCTTTCATGTGTGACTGTGCATTGTCATTTATAACCTCAATTGATGAGATTCAATCCTACAAGGAGTCTTTTAAAGCAGATAAGCATTTAAAGGGAGGGATATAAAGAAACAGAAATTAGAAAACTGCAGATCTATTTTATGTACCTAGCAATATAATCCCATTCTTTGACAATTTTTTATATTCTTGTTTAAATTTATACTTGTTTTCTTTTAGAGTTGACTGTTTACCCAAGAATCTCATAGTGAAGTGTAAGATTTATAAAAACAAATTGAGTTGTTAAGGTTCAAAACCAAGGAGAAAATCTTAACCTTTACCTTTCCTTTACCCTGGGTATCTAAAACATCACTGGATCTTGTATGGTATTAATCCCCTGCCTTTGAATCTGACCATAAATAATTTAATTTAGTTACCTATGTTCACCTAATTGGTAGCATAGAAATAGTTTCCTAATGCACAGCCTTTATTCACTTTCTTCCCCTTACAGTTTATCTTAACATGCTGTCACTAGGTTCTTCTTCTTAAAACTCAGAGCAGATCTTGGCCCTCCAGGCTCAGAGAGCTTCCTTATCTACCTTGTTGAAATCGAATTAATTCAAAATCTTTCAGTTTAAATGTAAAAGCTCATCACTTCATTATTCATAGTTACCTTTCTGATTTTCTTCAATACCCGCCCCCCGCCACACACACACACGTACACACGCATTCTATGCCCTTTCATCCTTCATATTTGAGCGCTTCCTCAAATGACACCTTTCCCCGCCCCCCACATTTATCCAAGGAAGGGCTAATTTCACTTCTTATCTTCCCCCAAAACTTTACATATTCAAAATTTTAAATTAATCTCACCCACACACCACATGCCCAAAGTAATGACTATATCTGTTATGCCATCAGAGTTCTATAAGATTATGAGCTGCTCGAAGATAAAACCTCTACCTTGCTGGATTTTTAATTCTCATATTTAGCATAGAGTTCAATGTATTCTAAATAGATGTTGGTGGAAATGATTTTCACTGAATTAATTGGCCTTGTCCCATCATGATGTTGTTCTGGCTTTGTTTTAGGAACATGGAATACCAATCAACATGGGCTATGCTGTGGCCCCACATCACTCAGGGGTCTACCCGGTTCACATTCAGCTGTATGCAGCTTGGAAGAAGGTCTGGGGTATTCAAGTCACCAGCACTGAAGAATATCCACATCTGAAACCTGCCCGGTACAGAAAGGGCTTCATTCACAATAGCATCATGGTGAGCACAGAGAGCCATGTATATTGAAGGATGTTAATATTTACATGTGGAATGAAGACAGAGGGCCATTTCCTCTAAGGATGTAACCTCGAACCTCTTTTACATGATTATCAGAAATACCTAACATATCTCAATGGTGACTGGTTATGCATTAACCCATCTTTTGGTGATAGGCTTGCTCCTAAGCTGTGGAGTGGCTTTGGCAAATCTAAAACAAGCTGAAACTAACAGGAATGAGTTATGTATAGATTATCCACTTTAGTTTCAGTATTGAAATTTTGCCTGTGGATTCCATACTTTTCCTAGGAAATTTCTCATTATCTATTTGGTTGGGTGGTTTTACTGAGAGTTTTACAGGCAGAGTAAGGCTGCATGGATTAAGAAAACACCTCTCAAGTTGTTATTCTGTCAACAGACAGAATGTTACAAATAGCATCTGAGAGTTAAATTTATTCACTCAGTTTATTTTGGCTTTCAGGCACTCAAAAGTATCTAAGAATACTGCTCTCTCTTTTTGTCTTTTCCTTGCATATTCCAAAAAGGGAGGTATATGTTTTTTCTTTTCAGATATAGTAATTGAAAAATAATAGGATGTAGGAATCCTAATAAATGAGAATAAAACCAATTGGATTTCAGAAGGCAATTTGCAATCATTCATTGGGAAAGAAAACATTATATTACTCATTTTGAGATAAAATAGCCTATTTTAAAACAAGTATACCTACTTCTAGTGACTTAGATGATGTTTTTATAATTAGTTGCCAAGATCAGAGCATTGGTTTACAAACTGTTCTTACTCATTTGAATATTTACACCTTCCTAATTCATTATTCATATTGCTGTTAAAATCCATCTATCATCTATTTATCTATCTATGATTTATTTTTCTATCTAATCGCCATCTGTGAGTAAAGCAAATGCACACACATATATCTAACCAGAGCTGATACACAATATTTATTAGTCATGAAGCTCTATTTTATTGCAAATTGGTACCAGAAGGCCTGAAGAAGCCTCAGATTTAAGAGAAGCTATTGATAATGCAAATAGTGGCATTGATGGCCATAGAAATCCAGAAGGTATAAATAGAATTACTCACATAATTTCAAATCATAGTGAAAATACCCAGGTTTCCCTTTACCTTTCCTTTACCTTCTGTATCTAAAACATCATTGGATCTTGTATGGCATTAATTCCTTGCCTTGAATGACCATTCAACATATTATGAAATGAAAGCATTCTTTTTAACCAATATTATATTCATTTATTTACCTTAAGTTTAATATTAACCCTTATGATAATTAAGCAAATAATTTTGAAAAAAAAAACTGTAGGCAATTAGATGCATTTGTCCATTAAATTACCAGTAGTTTGTCATTCAAAATATGATTTTGGAATAAAATTACTTATTTGCTTTCTTTATTAAACATTCAGACTTACAAAAGAAGTAACCACAAAATATACCAGAAGTAATCACTAAATAATTTGACTAGTATATCATAAAATGTAAATTCAGATTGTAGTGAAAACAAAGCTAATGTGGAAGGGGTTATGAAAACCAATTGTGGTAAATCCCAGAACCTGCATACCTTTACAATGCAGGACTCGATTTCAGAAGTGAAGAGAGTAATGGCCTAATGGCATGAAAGACGGAACCTTGGAGAATTTCCATCTTTGGGTGAACTTAACCCTAAGAAGGCTTTGTGTTTTCCCTAATCATTTAACATAACACAGGTGGTGGGTTAGATTTATAAAACCAACTGAAAATTATTTAACCTATATTTTTTATGCCTTTGATATGGAAACTCCCTTAATATTTACAGAATTGCACCAACATCAACTTGTGATTATAATAAGATTTGGCCTTAGCAACCAAGAAAATCCAATAGGAAATTACAATTTGCAGATTCTAAAGTTATGAGACACAGGTGAAGTTCTTAATTAAATCACGTCCATGTGCTGTTTTTCCCCTTTTTTACTCAGGTCCTCCCTCGACAGACTTGTGGGTTGTTCACTCACACTATTTTCTACAAAGAATATCCAGGAGGACCCCAAGAACTGGATAAAAGTATCAGAGGAGGTGAACTTTTTCTCACAATCCTTCTAAACCCAGTATGTATTCTATGTATGCACCTTACAATAAGATTAGCATTTTTAAATGTGTTTTATTTTCCTGTCTTTTAAACTAAATCATATTTATTTTCTTTATTTACAGCACATCTTACTGGTCATGCATTTAAATCTATATTAAAATACTTTTCTTGATAAAATTTGACTTTGGGACTGATTTTTCAGTAGATTTCATTACAAAGTCATGGTTTTTACTTTGTAATGTGGGTAGTGAAAAGTTTATTTCTAGCAGTAAAGAAGTAGCAATGTTTTCCATTGTTATTTTTTTCAAGTTAGGTCTTTCTCTCAGCTTTATGAAGGTATAATTGACAAATAAAATTTTTTTATTTTTACAGTACAACATGATGCTTTGTTACATGTAAACATTGTGAAATAATTAAATCAATCTAATTAACATACTATCATCTCTCATTCTTATTATTTTTGTAACAAGAACATTTAAAATATTTATTCTCTTAGCAATTTTTAGGTATACAATATGTTACTATTAACTATTAACTTATTCATCCCATCTAACTGGAACTTTGTTCCTTTCCACGAACTTTCCCCCAGCCACTGGCATCCTACTCTCTGGATCTATGAGTTCAACTTTTTATTTTTATTTTTTTTATTTTTATTTTATTTTTTTTTTTTTGAGAGGCAGTCTCGCTCTGTTGCCCAGGCTGGAGTGCAGTGGCGCGATCTCCGCTAGCTGCAAGCTCCGCCTCCCGGGTTCACGCCATTCTCCTGCCTCAGACTCCCAAGTAGCTGGGACTACAGGCGCCTGCCACCACCACGCCCGGCTAATTTTTTGTATTTTTAGAAGAGACAGGGTTTAACCGTATTAGCCAGGATGGTCTCGATCTCCTGACCTCGTGATCTGCCTGCCTCGGCCTCCCAAGAGTTCAACTTTTTTAGATCTCACATATAAGTGAGATCATGAAGTATTTGTCTTTCTGGTCCTGACTTATTCACTTAGCATATGTCCTCCTGGTTCATCTATGTTGTCACAAATGACAAGATTTCCTTCTTTTTTAAGGATGAATAATATTTTATTTTATGTGTAGATACATACATATGCCACATTTTATTTATTAATTCATGTGTCAATTGACACATAGATTGATTCCATGTTTAGGCTACTGTGAATAATGCTGCAATGAACATGAGAATGCAGGTATGTCTTGAACACACTAATTTCATTTCGTTTGGCTATATACCCAGTAAAGGGATTGTTGGATCATATGGTAGTTTTGAAGGAATCTCTATAGTGTTTTCCATAATATGAAGTAATTTATATTTCTAGCAACAGTGTTCAAATGTTCCCCTTTCTCCACATCCTCGCCAACTTTGTTATCTTTCATCTTTTTGATTAATAGTCATTTTAACAGGTGTGAGGTGATATTTCATTATGGTTTTAATTTGTATTTCCCTGATGATGAATGATGTTAGGATTTTTTCGTATACCTGTTGGGCATTTGTATGTCTTCCTTTGAGAAATATATTTTCAAATCTTCTGCCCATTTTTAAGGGAGGTCATTCCTTTTCTTACTATTAAGTTGTTTGAGTTCCTGATACGTATTTTGGATATTAAGCATTTGTAGATATATGGTTTTAAATATTTTCTCTCATTCCATAGGTTGTCTTTTTCACTCTGTTATTTATGTCCGTTGCTGTGCAAAAGCTTTTTGACTTAATGCAATCCCATTTGTCTATTTTGCTTCTGTTGTCTGGGCTTTTGGGTTTTTACACACAAAAAAAAAAAAAAAAAAAAAAGGAAAAGAAAAAATCAATTCCCAGTCCAATGTCAAAAAGTTTTTTCCCTATACTTCCTTCTAGTAGTTTTCCAGTTTCAGGTATTTGATTTAAACCTTTAGTCCATTTTGAGTTGATTTTTAAATATGGTGTGAGATAAAGGTCTAATTTTGTTCTTCTGTATGGGGATATTCAGTTTTCCCAACACCTGTTTGTTGAAGAGACTGTTCTTTCCTCATTCTGTATTCTTGCAACCTCTGGCAAAAATCAGTTGACTGTAAGTGCATAGATTTATTTCTGGACCGTTTGCTTTGTTTCAGTGGTCTTTATGTCACTCTTTATGTCAGTACCTTGCTGTTTTTATTACCACAGCTTTGTAGTATAGTTTGATGATAGATAACATGATGTCTCCAGCTTTCTTCTTGTTTCTCAAGATTGCTTTGACTATTCTGGGTCTTTTGTGAATCCATAGAAATTTTAGAATTGTTTTTTATATTTCTGTGAAAAAGTCATTAATATTTTGATAGAAAGTTCATTGAATTGGTAGATCATTGTGAGTAATATGGATATTTTAACACTATTAATTCGCTCAATCCATGAAGTTGGGATGATTGTCTGTTAGTGTCTTCAATTTCTTACATCAATATTTTATAGTTTTTGGTATATAGGTATTTAACTTCCTTGGTTACATTTATTCCTAAGTATTTTTTTGATGCTGTTGTAAATGGGATCTTTTTTATTTCTTTTTCAGATAACTTGTCAGTGTACAGAAACACTACTATTTTTGTACATTGATTTCATATACTTCAACTTTACTGAATTTATTAGTTTAACAGTTTTTTCAAGGAATATTTAGAGTTTTCTATATAAAAGAGCATGTTATCTGCAAACAGAAACAATTTAACTTTTTTCTTTTCCAATTTGGATGTCTTTTTTTTCTTTCTCTTGCCCAGTTTCTCTGGCTAGAACTTTTAATATTATATTGAATAGAAGCAGTTAGGGTGAACATCCTTCTCTTGCTTCTAATCTTAGAAGAAAAGCTTTCAACTTTGCACCACTAAAGATGATATTAGCTGTGAGTTTGTAATATATGGCACTAATTGTGTTGTGATGAATATTTTATACCTAATTTGTTGAGCTTTTTATCATGAATGGATGTTGAATTTTGTTACATGCTTTTTCTGCTTCTATTGAGATGATCATATGATTTTTGTCATTTATTCATCTTATTAATATGGTTTATCACACTTATGGATTTGCATATGTTGAACCATTTTTACATCCTAGGAATAAATCCCACATGATTGTGGTGTATTAATGTTTTGATTTGGTATTGAATTTGGCTTGTTAGGATTTCATTGAGAACTTTTGTCTCTATGTTTGTCAGAAATATTACCCTGTAATTTTCTTTTCCTATAGGGCCCTTAACTGGCTTTGATATCAGGGTAATGCTAACCTCATAAAATGAGTTTGGAAGTGTACTCTCCTCTTAAATTTTTTGCAAGAGTTTGAGAAGGATTTGATGTTAATTCTCTAATTTTTTTTTTTATAAAATACATCAGTGACACCATTAAGTCCCGAGCTTTTCCTTGCTAAGAGACCTTTAATTACAATTCATTCTCTTTACTCGTTATTGGTCTGTTCAGATTTCCTATTTCTTCATGACTCAATCTTGGTAAATTGTATCTTTCTGGGAATTTATCTGTTTCTTCTAGGTTAACCTGTTAGGTTTATCATTGTTCATAGTAGTCTGTTTTTATCCCTTTTTGCATTTCTGTGGTATTAGTTGTCTATCTCCTCTTTCTCATTTTATTTGAGCCTTCTCTCCTTTTCCCTTAGTCTAGCTATATGCATGCTAATTTTATTTATCTTTTTAAAAATCCAACTCTTAGTTTCATTGATATTTTCTATTTTTCTAATCTCTATTTTATTTATTTCTGCTGCATTCCTTATTTTTTTCTTCTTTCTGCTGACTTTGGACTAATTTTTTTCTTCTTTGACTAGTTCCTTGAGATATAAAATTAAGCTTTTTATCTGATATCTTTTTTTTTCTTAATGTAAGCATTTAGTGCCATAAATTTCCCTCTTAGAGCTATTTCACAACTTCTTCACAAAACTAGCTGGTAAATTCTAGCACTACTACAAAGAATTTAGACTGCACCTCTAAATAATTTGTTTCTCTTATGGTAGTCAAGAAAACCACATATTTTTAAGAAGCGTGTGTTTAATATAATAATTAAATATTATATAATATCTCATTTGGCTTCTATTTTTAATTATAGTAATGACATATTAATATGTGAATCTCCAGCCAAAAATTAAAAATCATAATTTTATCAGAGGAGCCTATTAGGCCCATAAGTTAAGTTTGCTTCTGGCTGGAGATCTCAGTAGGCACACTTACTTCAGTTTCTAAAAGTGACCACAATATAAAGCTGAATTGAAACTAGATAGTTTTGTATTATCTTTGTGTGCTTGGATGACCTGAAGCTTATTTTTTAAATATTTGCTAATTTTTTTTTGGGAATCAAAGATAGAGAACTTGACCCTTTTGTGTGTGTGTCTTTTCATCTTTAATAGTTGTAATTTTATTTTCTGTTATAAATAGATGTACAATGGTATAGCAGTGTGGGAATCCCAACATTATATAATATTGTGATTATTTCAGCTTTCTAATTTCTTCTTCTGTAATGATTCCATTTCTGAGGTCTTAGGAAAGCATGTCCTCATCATGTCCCAGTGTATACAGAAAATATGAAATAGTGAGCCTTATGCTATGCCCACTTTGTTTCATGGAAGAAAGGCTTATACTTAAGAAAAAGATACACTGTCAACAAAGCTATAGCTAAGTTGGCTGTGGTAAAGCTCTAGGTGTGTTTAAAATAAATTACATTAGATAATTCACATACACTATTTTCAATTCCTAAAAAAATAAATAAAAACTCACATTGTATGAAAATAGAAACTTCTAAATTTGACTGGAAGATAAGAAAGTGAGGGCAAAAATGCTTTGTCAGATTAAACTGTCTTCCCCTACAACTGCATGGCTATTAAAAACAAAACAAAACAAAACAAAAGGTCTGTTGGGTTTAATGGCACCACACTTGGAACAGGCGCATGGATGCTCTGTGATCTTTGGCAAGAAACTTCATTTCTCAGAACTTGCTTGTACTTCTGAATAACAAACTAGTTGAATTAATCCTCAATGTACCTCAAAGGTATTCCAACCAAAGCTATATCTGAGATATTTCAATTTTTGTGCATATTTCAAAATCAACACCTTTTGTATATATTTTTTAAAAACATCAAGGATATTCTAAAATAATTTTTAAAAATTGAGATGTAAATGTTAATGAAAGCAAGTGGAAACCTCTCTCTTCATTCCTTCCCTTACTGAGAATTTAATCTCGACAGAGGTAAGAGTCACTTCATCATACCCTTTTCATTCTGGGGCTACATTCCTGACACATATCTGCCCTAGTCATCTCTTTAGGGTAAGTCAATAATTTTCAGAACACTGACCATTGCCTCCCCTGGACCTCTTGCCCAGGTGTGATTGTTACTGGTGCTTATTACTTGAATGTTTGTCTATTTGTCAATAAAGACATGGATTATGCATCTGTTTCTAAATATTTTGAACCCAATACCCCTCATAGAGCATAATTTGGAGATTTAAACTTAAAATAAATCTCAGGATTTTAAATAACATAAAAGACTATTTGGCTTCTAATATTTCCATGTTTACCACTTGTGAACTAATCAAACTATAGTAAGTCTTATAAATCTCACTTTAAAAAGTTTATCATTGCTACACACATTTATTTCAATTTTAGGCAGAATAGGATAGTGAAAGAGGGGAGTTTCAGGAGGCTTCATCTATCCAGTCACAAACTATACTTGCTTTGTCATTGTAAATTGATGGTGAGCTCAAAATATGATACATAGGTAAATGATAGAGACCAGGACAGACACAGCAGGAGTAGATGGTCAAGAGGGTCGATAGTATGGATAAGATAGCACATCCTAATATGGGAATATGAAGTATAGATCAAGCAAGCACTAGTCCATAAAGATGACTGTTTAAGGAACAATGTTGCTCAAAACAAGGACTATGCATAGCCTCAAGCAATCTGAGTAGATATTGCTCAGATTTCAAGGGAAACAGACTACAGGTAGCATCTGGTAGAGCCCAGGCCAAATGGAGCTTACTTCCCGGCTTGCATAGGCGGAAGTTATCAGATGTCTTAGACGGGGTTCTCCAGGGAAACAGACCCAGCAGGATTTAGATACATAGATAGATAGATAGATAGATAGATAGATAGATAGATAGATAGATAGATGGATGGATGGATGGATGGATGGATGGATGGATGGATGGACGGACGGACGGACGGACGGACGGACGGACGGACAGACAGACAGACAGACAGATAGATAGGGATATAGAGAGAGGCAGAGAGATTATAAAGAAGTGGCTCATGCAATTACGAGGGCTGTCAAGACCCAAGATCTGATATGCAATCAAGAAGCTGGGGAGACCCAGGAAAACTGATGGTATAGTTCCAGTCCAAATGCCAGCAGCCTCAAGACCCAATGAAAGCCAAGATTACAGTTAGAGTTCAAAGGCAGAGAAGAAAAAACAGTGTCCCAAAGTGAAGGCAGTCAAGCAGAAGGAAATTCCTTTTACTTAGCTTTTTTGTTTTATTCGGGCCTTCAACAGCTTGATTAAAGTCTACCCGCATTACAGAGGGCAATCTGCTTTACCCAATACAGGGGTTGTGCACTGGACTGATTAAAACGTTATTCTCATCCCAAAACACCCTCATGGACACACCCAAAATAAGGTCTGACCAAATATCTTGCCATTTCCTGGTCTAGTCAAGTTGACACATAAGATTAACCATCATACCAGATGAGGAACTTAATGTGGCAGGCAGACTTGGAGTAAGTGAAAGAAAATGGGGAACACAGAAAGAAGGAAGAATTGAATGAAAGAAAAGATAATTCACACTTGGATTTTTTCTGTGTAAGTGTCTTCTCATAAATAGAGAGGTGATGGGCTATGATTAATATTTACCTCACTAATGTTGAGAAAGTAAATATTGGGGCTACTTGATGATGAGTTACTATTTTAAGTTTAAGGTTCCAACAAGCCTGGCAAGGAGGGAGCCTGCAGGAATGGAATGAGGAAAGAAGTAACCAGAAAAAGAAAACAATAAGCCAGCTTCTCTGTTCCATTCTTTTCTTTCAATCATCATTTAATTCTTTGTCAGAGTAAAGAATATTTTCATATCTTTCACCCAAACCATGCCAAGGAAAGAAGTTAGTTAATATGAAGATTAAAATTATTGATATGAAATAATATGCTGACTCTGAAGAATGTTTCTATTTAACAGAGCTGACTTTTAAAGGGAAGATCCATGAATACATTTTGCTAGGTATCAAAGTCCCGGGGGAAATGTGTTTTTAGTGCGAAGTGTTCAACATCCATGAAATCATCCAGAGACTACCATTTTCTCTACCTACTTTCCCAGCTGACTCTTAGTGTATAAAAGTGATGTTTGTAGGAACTTATAAGTAGAAGAGGTGATCAGTAGTGTTAGGATAAATTCTAAAACATAAAAGCCAATCTATGCTGGATTTCCTTTTCCATTAATCATCTATACTTTAATATTATAGAAATGCTGTAGACAATGTATGACATCTCTCTTGGATGGTAATTTTCTCTGTGGTTTTGAAAATGATTGATAGTTTTCTGTACTTAGTATTGTTATTTTAGTATGTTCATCAGTGGATGAATAAGGACATGCTAGCATGACACAAAGCTGACAGTGAAAGTAAATACACCAGATTATGATATTAATATCTAGTTTTTGTTAGCATATTAGAATTAAAAAAGCAAATCTAACAGGGTGAAATTTAAAAGGAAATAATGAAAAGCCCCTAATCATTTTGAAATAAAATAATAATATAATCTCACCATTATATAAGGATAAATATTATATAAGGATAAATTAAATCTGTCAGAAAATTGTGTGGGCTACAATCATGACATATTAAGTTCCCTGTTGTTGAAGCTGTCCAAACAGAAATTTTGTAGAAATGCGAAATCTATTACTGAGCTTCTAATAGTTCATCTTGTACTAAGAATACGTGATTTCTATGTTCTTATACAATTAAATCGTGGCTACATCTCTCTCATTGTAAAACACACACACACACACACACACACACACAAATCAAGTTAATTTTAAATACTACAAGCATTATAAATTTGGATCTAATCTATAATTATAAGATCGGAGGAAATGGAGAAATAATAGTTTGTCAACATATTTGACAATTAAAGGATGAGATAAAATGGGAAGATATCTAATGGTAGATATATTGAGGGAAGCAGAGAAAGAAAAAAACCTTCCCATTACTTGTATACTGAAATATAATTTCCAGATTTTGCAGGACCATTTTGAATTTTGATTAGTAGTTACTGAATTCATATGTATGTAAGCATCCTATGAGATTAATAAAAGCTGGAAAAAGTATATAAAGGAATGTCCTGGAATTTTCCCCTCTAGAGTACTTTAAAATAGAATCAACAACTCTATAGTTCTTTCTTATTGCCTTGGGAATTCATCTGCCTAAAGGAAGGAAACTGGATTAAATAACCTTGAAAAGTTTCACATTTTGTTTTTCTGGTTTATAATAACATCTGCAGCTTTGCTCTGCAGTCAAAAAGGCAAATGCCACAACAAAGCCAGTATTGTTTCTTTATTTCTTCAGCACTCAGTTTGAGGATTCACATTATTTTGTGTTGGCCCTCTCTACAATACAACTGTATCTATTCTGTGTTCAAAAGTCTCTGATATTTTTTCTTTCTGCATTTTCAACAGTTTTTTTTTTAATTTTGACTCTCACTGGCATTCAGAGATATATCCTGTTTTCATAGTTTGACACATTTCAAAATATGTCATTATTTTATAATTTACCATAAAACAGAAGATATGAGTTGGAATAAAGTTTTACATCTTGATTTACATATGAACTCCTGTTGCTATTATGTGTTATATTTTTTGATTCAGCCAACTGCAAGGAATGGGGTTTCTTGATTTCCCTGGATACCAACTTACTTTGCCCAAATGAGCCTAACAATTGAAAATTAAATGATATGAGGGCCATTTCAATGGGATTTCAAAAGCATACTTCGACATCTGTCTATTTAACATTCAGATAACTCCCTCTTATTTTTCTTAGATTCTTATCATGCCTTCATCACATATTGATATTTTTCTGCACTGTTCCACACTTGTCAAATACTAACATGTATTTCCCTGGTGCCACATCCTTCCTGTATTTTCAAATAATCTTTGTTCAGACAGGAAGAAATATAATTTAATCATGTATGAGGTGAAACAGCTTACACCAGGTAGTCCACCATCATTCAAGTTGAGACACTACCCTATAAAATATGCAGCAACTGAAAATAGTCAAAACAGTCTGGAGTCTTATCAGATGGTTTCCACAATAAGTATAAAAGCTTGAAATTAATATGTCCTACAGGATTTAATTTTTTCTACTCATTTTAATTTCATGCTACACAAAGAGCAACATTAAAAATAGAATTTTCTGTTTTCTTGACAAATATGTTTCAATAGGCTCTGATTGTAGAATGCTCTAAAATAGCAGTTCAGGAGCCAGAAAAGTTATTACACTTTCCAAAGTTCAGAGCAGTGCCTAGACTCACTAAACCTCACCTATTCTATTGGCCACTTGCAAATTCAGGTGAACAAAAAATATGTGCCTGAAAGAGTGGTGTACTTGAAATTGACAGTAGAGTATAATGGAACTGCAATGATAAACTTCTCCGTGTGCTGTCTGCTGAACTTTCATATACCTAGTCTGGTTAATGAGCTTTCCTTCTCCGTGTATATCAATCTCTGAGTTCATGGAATCTAATAGCAGGTGCAGTACATTATGGATTAGTGCTGGCTCTTCAGACAGGTTAGAGAAAAGGCAGCTGTGAGGCACAGGATAACATCCACATGAAATAACCTGAAACAAACTTCGAGAAATTCTGTTTAATGCTGAAATAATATAGAGCTGCATAGATGAGGTAATTTAGAGAAAACTATTTTATGTGCAGAGCAACAAAATAAAATGCAAGCAATATCCCAAGTCTGTAGCAGATTATAAAGAAGTGATTACTGATATCAAGGTCTCCAAGTATTCTTTGATGATTTTGGCTTTGATTTCCTATAAACATTGTGGTTTATAGAAATAGAAACCACATAGAAACACAGTGGTTTAAAGAAAATTATGACAATGAGATAATATTCCATGGAGAACAAAGCAATTATATATTCCATCAAAATATTCATCTTCATAAAATAATATATTAATATTTCTAACTTGGAGACCTAGGAGATTTTCTACATGTGTTCCAGGAGGATTTATATTTTTCTTTATCTTTTTTATTGATACATAATAGATGTACATATTTGGGTGGTGCATATGATAATTTAATGCATTCTGTATAATTTGGAAAGATTAAGTCAATGTAATTGGGATATCCATTACCATAAATACTTGTCTTTTCTTTGTGCTAGCAACATTGGAATTATTCTCTTTGAGCTATTTTGAAATACATAACAGATTATGTAAACTGTAGCCACCCTACAAATTTTTCAAGCACTAGGTCTTATTTCTTCCATCGAACTGTATGTTTGTACCCATTAATCAACGTCTCTTCATCCCCTAGCCCCTCTCCGGAACTCAGGGGTATTTATTTTTATAGAAATTAACTTGTAACTTTTCTACTAGAGTGAAATCTACTTCTCTAGACAGGGACTTTGAAGCAATTAATGTTATTGGGAGCTCTGGGGCTTAGAGCTGAGGAGAACAGCCACCAACTGTGAGAGGAATGGACCCCTGTGGAGTATATAGATTGTGGAAAATTCTATTTCCACTCACTGAAAGACCTACAGTCACCTTTTTTTTTTTCCTTTATCTTCTTTTTTTTTTTCTATCCTTAAAGATTTGCAGGACTAACCTTTACAAAAGGACATGAATCACCACTTCTGTAAGGGATTCACACTCACAGCAGAGATTTTGTAAAATCTGGAGTCAGCTAAGATCCATGGACTTACAACGTATGATATTATTCTTTCTGTTAACACTGAAAATCAGGATCAGAGTTAGCATAAGGATGTAGAGAATGTGAGTAAATTTTGTGCTTTTTCCCTAGATTTTTAGTAGTAGTTTTGTTTCAATTTTCCACAATAGGATTTATTTAAAAATGAGTAGTTCAGAATATCAAGTGTGCTGTAAAAAATGACCAAAATATGTTTGCCTCCTGAACTTGAACTCTGTCTTCTCATGAAATAAGAGAGAGATTTATATTATTGTGTAGACATATATCTTTCTAATACAATATTTGCTACCGGTTCTGATGGAATACAATTTGCACTGCTGTGTATTTCCAGAACATGAAAAAATCCGTAAGATTGCATTTTTTTTCAATTTTGTTTCCATCGAAAAATAAATGAAAGCTGCAATATTTTATTAGAGGAGTCTTTTCCATCTAGTATAACTGGCTACTTTAGTTTTCCCAAAGTTTGGAATGAAAGGTAGTAAAATAGCTCTTTAGCATAAATAAACTTTCAACAGCAAAAGCACAACCTCCTGTTTATGTGGATGTTAGTCAGCAGATAAAACCTTTTTTCTCTATATATTTTGGGGCATGCAATATGTAAGTACTAGGTGCATAATGCTCTTCACATTTAGGGACAGTTTGCAAACATTATCAGTGAATTCATAATAAGAAAAAAAGAAAAGAAAACACTCCCTGTATCAGTGTTTATATGACTAATGAGTTGGTGAGAAAGTAGAAGTTGGTTAGTCTACAAAATTAAATTTGGAAATGTGTGCTTTTTTGGTTTGTTCTTTCTGGTTTGTTTGTGAGGTTTCACTCTACTGAAGGGTTCAAAATGCTAGATTTTATTATCTATTTTACAAATTTTATAACACCTAAATATTTCAATATGTCTTGTTTCTTTTCCTTAATATTTATTTTTTTAAGTACAGTGAATGACAAAGACTCTTTTGGATCATTTTACCTTATTTCACTTTGTTTATTCCTATTTTATGTCCCTCTGGTTATTCCTCAGAGTTAGATACAGTGAAAATAAAAATATAAACTCTTTTCTAAAACATGTTGATATTTTCCTATTTTTATATTTGAGGAAAGCAAATACTTCTGGCTTAGCATTTCCCTAAGTGGCTAATATGCAGATATGATATGGAGTATGTATGTAAATGCTAAATAATGGTGACCTGGAGTTCCATTTGACATGTCAGGGCTTATTCTGTATTAGAAGGCTTTGGTATGTATAGCTTCTTATGCCTACAGTACTTTTCTATTAATATCTCTACTACTCTCACTTTAACCTATTTGTCTATCAGATTTCATCTCTGCTTTCTCTTTCTCATCCCCTGAGCCTGATCATGGGTTTGGGTCAGATGTCACAGCTGTTTACACAAATAGAGTCATATGCATAATACAGCTCATGGTGGTACCTGTTTAGTGACTATCTTCTTCACCTCTACTATATGTATCCCTAGGCATAGAGCATGGGCTCAATAGGTTGAATAAATTAACAAATGAAAATTATGCCATAACCGCATGTGTCTACCACATGCCCTTTTGTTACCACTACGGAATGGATCTGGGTCACATGGTACCGAAGTGTGTTTGCAGTGGTAAATCTACACAGGTCTCCTGAAACCTCAATTCTTGTCTCCTCAGAAGAAAGAATTTGACCAAGGGGCATAAGGCAGAGTGTGGGACTGAGGCAAGCTTCAGAGCAGGAGGGAACGTTTGTTAAAAAGCTTTAGAGCAGGAACAAAAGGAAGTAAATTACACTTGGAAGAGGGCCAAGCAGGCAGTGTTAGAGATCAGTGCACAGTTTGACCTTTGACTTGGGATCTTATACATTGACATGCTTCTGCGGTTGTGTTACTTCTCGCCCGATTTTTCCACTGGGGGAGGCTGTCCACATGCACAGTGGCCGGCCGACATTTGGAAGGTGAGCATGCATGGTGTGTTTACTGAAGCTATATGCATGCTCACTTGAGGTGTTCTTGCCTTACCAGTCAAGTGTTTCTAGAGGAAGATCATATACCAATTAAACCCTGCCATCTTGCCTCTTACTGTGCATGCTTGAGCCTGCTCGCTTCACTCCTGAGATCTTATCAGGAAGCTGCTGATCACCAGTTTCAAGGGTTTTGATATGTCAGGAGACTGCCTTTCCCTGGCACTGCTGCAACCGATTATTATTTTAGAGAGACAGTTAACAACCGCCTGACCATCACCCGATGGTGGCCGGACATTCCTGGTGACTGGAAGGCGGTGGGGGGTGGTGGGGTCTCCTGCCCTGCCTGGGTCTGACTAACTACCGACTGTAACACTTTCACATGAATTGTTAATGTTGTGTCAGAAAAAAAAGGGAAATGAGAGAACAGGGGAGAGGAGTCAAGAAAAGAGGAGGAGAGAAAAGGAAGAAAATGATAAAAAGGGACAGCAGGGGAGTGAGTCAAGGGGAGCAGGGAAAAGGGGAAATGAAGGGGGAAAAAGAAAATAGGAAGTTTATTCTCACTTTTTTCATGAAATCAAACAGGCAGCTGGAATGGTAGTGCATCATCTAATAACCCAAACTCAGAAAATCTTGTCTTATTTTATTTTTTCTAGTTTACTAAATAGCGAAGAATAAGTCATCTAAGTTCCTTGTGCTTCTGAATATGTCTATAAAACGGGAGAAATAAATGTTGGTTCTCTTACTGTTTTACACAAACAGTATAAGATGTGATAAAAAGCAAGTGATTTTATTTTTTGGACAAAAAATATAAATAATTTGGTTGCAATTGTTATTTAAAATGTCATTTTTATCATCAAATGATATTTGAGGTGTATTAGAAGCCCATGAGTGCTGGGTTTATTTACAGCTTGAATTTTGCTTGGTTGTTTCTTGCTGCTTGAACACATAAATCATGTGATAAAGACATCCTCTATTACAAAGGCTTTTAGTTCATTACATGTTTTGCTTCTGAAACTATTCTTGTGGTATCAGTTTATTATGCTTTCTGAGCTATTTTTAAGTGATAACACTTCCATCATTATTTTTTATTCCAGTGAAACGAATGGAGTCATCGAACGCAATACTTGCTTGGTTGCTCTAAACAATTTTTTTTCTTTGATTTTGTTCTCTACTAAAATACCTCAGATGTTTTTGGCAAACGTTTTTGTTTCAGTTGCTAGTGTTGATGGTTTTAAGGTGTTTTAATTTTTGTATTAATAGACACATTTTTGGAAACACTAAGTTCTTTGTTTATCTTCAACACTGACTGTGGCAGAAGTTTAGCTCGAATAAGGAATACATAGAATTATGGCAACCTCTGTGTTTGGTAAACATATATTAATGATATGAAAACTTAAAGCCCTTACTAGTTGTTACATTTTTACAGATAATTTAGAGGGCTGAGATGAATTTAATATAAATAAGAAATTCAACCCCACAAATCAAATAGAAACCTTTAGATTGGGTTTCATCACCTATCACTAGTGGATAGGATACTCTTCATGTCTGCAGTTATTGATCCTACAGATCTGTCTCCATTGAACTTCACACCTAACAGAACAGTCAGTGTTCAATTACCTCTCTGTGAGAACATTAACTAAAACCAGAGAAACAGCCAAGAGATTTAGAAGTAAAGAAAAGGTCATGTTCTTGTAAACAGAAAGTTCATGATGACTGCTAGCCTCCTCTAGCACTGTATGGAAATTACCACCTTAAACAATGTAAAAGATAAGATTCCAAGCATGAAGTGTTTCCTTGATTTATAGTTGCCACTTCTAACACAATTTAAGATATTCAATAATGCCATTCAAAGTATAAAGTGTAAGTAACAGAATCTTACTCCTTTTTGAAGCTGTTATTATATCCACTTAAACTCTCTTTCACACACAGGTACACATTCAAATCAAAAGTGAATAAAAGATGTGACTTGAAAATTGCCATCCTCCTGCAATTTATTTTTAGAAGTCCATTCTGCAATTCACTTAACTTGCTCAAGAAATCAAATCTATATAGACAGAGCTTCCTACATGGCCTGAGATGTTATGTTTATATACACAGAATTTGGGAATTATGAGTTATTGAGAAAAATAAAAAAGAAATTAAATATATCACACTGCCCCAAATTTGATGCAGCTTTTACCCAATCTTCTGCTGAATGCATCTTAAAAATACATATATGTCAATATATATTTATACATAATTATTTATAATGACTGTTGAATATTTACTGTTTTAAATTTTGAAAAAGAAGCCCATCAGTGATGATAGTAACTTGTGGTGTGCAGAGTCATTGGCTAAATTATTATGGTTTTATAAATGACTTTCTAGAGGGTAGGCAACTTCCCAATAATACCAAGAGATATTCCTTTCACCAGTGTGTACCTATAGTAGGTTCTATTATATATCTGTTGAATGAATAAATTCATCAGTAAGTACTGTCAACTCTCCTTCCAAATTATATCCCAATTATTTTCTCTCCATCTCTGCAGCAACCCTGCAAGACAAGGCATCTGTTTTCTCTCTCCCAGAAAAATTGCTATCTCTCTGGCCACATAGAATCCATTATCCCTAGAGCAGTTAAAATATTATTGTTAAACGTAAAATAGAGCATGCCACAGCCATTCTTAATGTCCTCCAATGCTTTCTCATTTAATCTTAAAATTAACTTCAAACTCTGGACCATGACCTGGCCCTCTGCCGCCCTCTCTGCATTTACCAAGTTCCACTCTGACCTTCACTTACTCACTTACTACACTATAACCACACCATCCTTCTTTCCATATAGGTTTTCATACATGCCAGGATTGTTTGTCCCTCAGGGCTTTTGTGCTACCATTAATTTCTTGAAATAAGTTGCTTCCAGGAATTTGGAAACCTGATTTCTTCTGCCTTTCATGCCTCAGGTCAAAAGTTATCTCCTCAGAGAAGGGTTGTCCACCTTTTTCCAGTCACTCTCTATCACTAACTTGTCTTATTTTTTCATAGCATTTACCACTCTCTAAAGTTATTTATGTGTTTTTCATCTGTCTCCCTTCCCTACTTTCATTCCCCACCTTCATATCACCAACAATCAACTCCACATTAGCTCAGTAAGCCCAGCCACATTTTTATTGCTGTGGGAAATTCAGGGAAGAGACCGATGGCATAGAAATTGATTTGAATTTTAACCACTGTATGTTGTTGGATAAATATCTTCATGAGCATTGGAAGTAATCTTTAGCTAAGATTTTAAATATTTAATATGCAAATGAGATCAATTCTGTATTGATCATTGTTTGTTTTGGCATACACAGATAACTTTACAATTTTTATGGAAACAGCATATACCTGAAGTATTTGTTAACAAAAGACCACGACATCTGTGGAGGAAAAATGGAGAGTTTTATTTTCTAAAAAAAATACCAAAACAAGAAACAAAAAACAATCTGCAGATTGGGGAGGCACAGCCTTTGGTAAAAGTGAAATTGTGCTTTCCAAGGAACAAAGTGAGAGTCTGGCTTAAATAGAGAAAGTGCTCCCCTATGTTCTCAATCAGGTCCATTTATGCAAATGAAGACTTCAAACTTGTTCATTTCTGATTGGTCAAAATAGTTGATCTCTGACCGGGGAGTTTCCAAGCCCAAGCCAGAAGTCTCTGTCAGATGTTTCTTTCAAATGGTCAGGGGAGGGGTGGGACAGGTTTCCAGCTGCAGTTTATCTTGGCAATGACAACAGGAACTTGTTCGGTTTGATTCTATTTTTATTTTTTATTTTATTTTTTTTTTATTTATTTTTATTTTTTTATTATAGTTTAAGTTTTAGGGTACATGTGCACATTGTGCAGGTTAGTTACATATGTATACATGTGCCATGCTGGTGCACTGCACCCACTAACTGGTCATCTAGCATTAGGTATATCTCCCAATGCTATCCCTCCCCCCTCCCCCCACCCCACAACAGTCCCCAGAGTGTGATATTCCTCTTCCTGTGGTTTGATTCTAGAAAGGGAAGTCCTGACACACTTTTACAACATCTTTCTGAGAACACAGTACATGATTGCTCCTTCACCCAGCATCGCAGCCCAATTCTGTTTTAACTTTGAGCTTCCCAGTTAGCCATGAGGAGCCCATTTTGTCAGCCAGGGGCATATTTTAACATTTTTAATAAAGTTGGCACAAGTTTGACTTAAAGAAAAATTTTAT
Source organism: Homo sapiens (assembly GCF_000001405.40). NCBI lineage: Eukaryota > Metazoa > Chordata > Mammalia > Primates > Hominidae > Homo > Homo sapiens. Next base: position 114,918,143 of record NC_000004.12, on the reverse strand, counting down.
TTTACCTTTTCAAAATGGTTATAGTAAGATCTGTCTAACATTAGGAAAAGATACCTTGTAATCATTTTCTAAGAAACATATATCTAAAACTGGACTATGAGAGCAAAATCTGCAAAATTCCTGTGATATCCAAGCCATCTTCAGTATCCACTCAAGTATTGACATGATTATTTTTAATGTAATAAATCTCTTTTTGTTCTGATTATTTATAAATGACATTTATTGTGTTTACCTTATTTAATCTTCCAAATGCTTTCTATGCATTAACTCACTTGAGCCTCCCATCAACCATGTAAAGTTGAGACTAGTATTGTTTTTATTTTTTGGATGAGGAAACTATTCAGAGAAGTTAACTAATTAATTCAGTATCAGAGAGCTTGTGAGTAGCAGAGCTACCGTGTGAACTTCATTATGTGTGTGTTTGGTAGTGGAAATGCACCCCTGCACTCCCTTTCTGTGTTTTTATGCTTTTATTTTTAACAGCACTAAGCATCTCTCTATTTTTTTCTAAGTTATATATTTTATTTTTTTAGAGACAGGGTCTCACTATGTTGCCTAGCCTGGACTTGAACTCTTGGGTTCAAGCAATCCTCCAGCCCTCCCACCTCAGCCTCTGTAGGTGCATGAAAGTCGAGTTCCAAAGTCCCTATTGTTTGATCAGTACATTATGCTGTCTCTCTAAGGCCAACTACTATCAAAATACTAATATAACTTGGAGATATATGTCTTTTTGAGGGATAGGAATTTTAGCAGCAATAACTAGACTCCATCAGCTTCCAAGGTTGAACACATTTCTGTAATTGCAGAGGTATACAGTTGGCCTTCTGTATATGAGTACCACATTCATAGATTCAAACAATCTCAGATCAAAAATGTTCAGTAAAACAAAAGCATATGTGCTGAATATGTACACACTTTTGTTCTTGCCATTATTCTTGGAACAATACGAATATAACAACTATTTACGTAGAACTTTCATTTTATTAGGTATTATAAGTAATCTAGAGATGATTTAAATATATGGGAGGATATGCATAGGTTATATGCAAATACCAAATGATTTTATGTGAGGGACTTGAGCATCCATTAAGTTTGGTATTTGCAAGGAGTCCTGGAAACAACTCCCCACAGATACCAAGGGACAACTATATATACCTTTCAGAATTCCATGTTCACCTCACAGCAATAGGTTATTTGATTCATTCATTAAATATTTATTAAAGATTTATAGTGTTCCAGAGAAATAAAAAAAATTAAGGGTACGGTTCTCATGGTCTGAGGGAGAAAAAAAAATACAACAGAAAATTTACGTAAGATTTGCTGAAGCCAGGCACTGTGGCATGCACTTGGAAAGGCTGAGGTGGGAGGGTGGGAGAGTTGCTTAAGCCCAAGAGTTCAAATCCAGGCTGGGCAACATGGTAAGACCCTGTCTCTAAAAAGAATAAAAAATATAACTTAGAAAAAAATAGAAAGATGCTTAGAGCTGTCAGAAAAAAAAAAAGCATAAAAACACAGAAAGTGAGTGCATTTCCACTGCCACACACACACACATACACACAAACACACACACACACACACACACACACACACACACACACACACACACAGAGCCTACCAGGACAATGTGACATCTGAACTAGACAGAGTACTTAAAATTTTTACTTTAATTGAAGAAGAATATTATTTCATGCTGAGAGGAAGCTAGTGAGCTACTAAGCTGGAAGCATATATGGAAAAGACTATAGAAAGAATGTATAATAAAAGGAGATAGAGATAAGGGTGACAGGAGAGAAAGAGGCTAGAAGAGAATGTGGTGCTACTTTCGGCAGGTTTTTATGGATCACATGTGGGGGCACTTACATAAGGGAATGGCATGATACTCAGGTTTAGAACAAAAGTTAATGTTCATATTTCTTAATATTCAAGCTATTCCATTGAAATGGTGACCTTCCTTGAGAAAGGATAGTTTTTCTTTCACCAGACCATGAGAGTGGCTTCAGCCCCTTGCTAGAACTTTCAAAAAACTGTCATCTTAAAGAACATAAGGATAAATATCGATAGTCCATTACTCACAAATGAAATGGTGGTATGAGACCAACAGGTTGTGCCATTTCTTCTTCCTAGGCTGTGTTTGCAAAATAAAAGATCTCAGGACTTCTGAAAATTCTTCTTTTCAAACTGATTTTAAAACTGTGTAACAAATGAGAATATTACGATTTTAAGTGGTTGGGGTTTGCATTTTTTCCTTCTTTCTTTTTACCCTTCTTTTTTTCTCTCCTACCCTCTTCCTTCCCTTCCCTCTCCCCCTCTCCTTCTCCTCCTTCTTCTTTTCTGTTTAATAAGCAACTTCAGCTCATTGCTTCTATAATCATTATACTATTAGACTATAATAAAATATGTAGTAATATTACACTGTCCACTGACTTTTAATGGCATTTATAATAAAAGTGATAGATTTCAATTAACAACCAATGAGGTGGATTTTAAAATGAACTTGTATTTAGAAAAGCACACAGGATTTACATTAGTTTACTTAGTGTCTTTAATGAAGTGTTTTCTGTGTTAAAGAAAAATCAGGAAGGTAACTATTGTTAAGACTTTGTCACTGCCCAATAAAAACAACTTTTCAGTATAATTTTATTCATGAAAATTACTGTAACTCTTTGCACATTTTGACTGTTAACAAGATTATTATTAAAAAGGAATGAATTTATCATATAGCATATTTATCTTAACTTCTAATTTGACTTATTAACCTTTTTGCATCCTACCTGGTGTAAGTGGGGGGATAATAGTGAACTGTGAAGAAATAAAATCAAAGTCAAGTACAGCTGGTTCATTGACCCCTTACGGCATTGGACAATCTTTCCAGGCTTCCTTTTGATTATTTGACAGCTTGGTGGTTTTGTTCTTAGCCTACAGACCAGAGAGGCCACAGAACAAACTGGCTATTTGTGATAGCTGGAGAATCCCTGAGAACAGGGTGAGGTTGGTAAGAACATTTGAATTCAGGAATCTTCTTATCAACTCTGAAGGACTTTGCTTTTAGTTGTTCATACATAGCACCTCTGCTAAGCAATCTGCTGTATTTAATTTTTTCTTCTTGTTTTAATTCATTAAAAATAGTGCCAGTTTAATATTTTAAGGGAAAATAAAGATCAGATATTGAGTAATACAGGAAGAATCATAGGAACAGATATTAAAAGATGCCCCACCTCCACCTACCACTGTCTTGAGTCCAAGTTACCTATTCCCTGCCTGGCGATAGCACGAGTAAAAATAAGTTAATGAAACATTAAAGGGAAACAAGCAGCTGCTCTTGCCTTTTAAAAAAACAGTGATTAAAAGCATGGACTGGAAATTCAGGTACTTCGCATCTCCATTTCCTTCTACCTCAGCTTAAACATAAGCAAAAACAAAACTTGAATTTAGGTTAATGCCATGACTTTTTGAAATTTCAGGGAACTCTTGAAAAAGCAGAACTGATTCTGAAAAAAACAATATCATTACCTTACTAAACAATAAAATGTTCCCCATAGTCTACACACAGTCCCTAGCTTGTAGTTAATATATTTATATAAAATGTGTTTACTATTTCTCCTCCTATGGGTAATGAAAAGCAAAATCTTCTTTCTAATGCAGTGGTATCTAACATTGCTTTTTAATTTTATATTTTAATTTTTGTGGGTACACAGTAGGTATATATATTTATGGGATGTATGAGATATTTTGATTCAGGGATGCAATGCATAAAAATCACATCATGTAAAATAGGGTATCTGTCCTCTCATTTATCCCTGTGTTACAAGCAATCCAACTATACTCTTTTAGCTATTTTAAAATGTATAATTAAATTATTATTGACCCTGTTGTGCTATCACACAGTAGGTCTTATTTATTTTTCTATTTTTTTGTACCCATTAATTATCCCCACCTCCCCCCAATGCCCTGATACCCTTCCCAGCTTCTGGTAACCTTCCTTCTACTCTCTATCTCCATGAATTCAATTGTTTAGATTTTTAGGCCCCACAAGTAAGTGAGAACTGAGACGTTTGTTTTTCTGTGCCTAGCTTATTTCACTCAGCATAATGACCTCCAGTTTCATCCATGTTGTTGCAAATGACAGGATCTTATTCCATTTTTATGGTTGAATAGTACTTTGTTGTTTGAAAGGAGATTTTCTGTATCCATTCATCTGTTACTGTTCACAGTAGCCAAAATTTGGAAGCAGCCAACACTTTTTAACATATCAATAAAAATAATTTTGAACAAGTATCCTCAAAATGTTCATAAATATTTATTTATATATAAATTAAATGCATTCCTACTATACCAATGCATTACTATGCCATATGCATTATACTGAAGGGCAAAATGAATAGAAATAAAAGTGTTTTTTTTTTTTTTTTTTTCTTGGAGATAGGTTTATTAACCCACAGGGGTTCTTGCATACCATTCTGGGGACCAGCACTGTAGTAGATTGAAAAGTTGATTAAAAGGTAGAAAAATATTCTTAAATATGCACAAGAAATTAAACAAGTTATTAAAATCTCTCCTTTAAAAACTGAAGAAATTGATTATATCAATGATCTCATTCTATAAAACAAAGTTCATTTTTTCTCTAGGCCAGTGTTTTTCAAAATAGGCAGATAATCTCTATTAGGATCACCCAAATCAAAATGTTGAAGTCTAGGTATTTCCGCATATCGTAAGTCAACATTTTAAGACATTTTATTTTATATACCAAAGTTTGAGAAGCACCACTATAGGCAAAAATAACTATTGTTGAAAATTTTAGAAAGTTATTTTTTTCATGTCCCAAGTTTTCTTCCAAATGTAGATAGCTTACAATCAAAAACCTTATCAAAATTTGCAATCACTCTAAATTAGCCCTTTAATCCCAGAAGCATAAAGAGGAATTAACATCACAATGTCAATATTTAACATACAGTCCTTATTTTAAAAGAATATTTGTGGTATTCTTATTTTTGAAAAAAAATATAATTTTATTTTTTTTTCTGTGGCCTGTAACTCCATTGTCAAAAATTGGATATGGGTTGAGTTGTAAGAGCTCAATAATTTATCAATGCTCATTGAAAAACAAACTCATAATATTACAGAGAAAGTCAGAATCAGTTTCAGGATCTCTTGATATAACATTGAGAATTTAAAATTGAGTAAAGATGGATATATTGCATCCACCATTATTTTACAGCCTGATTCATAAAAATATATCACTTTTAAATGGTCTGGATACATAAACATTTTCACCTATCCATCCTAATTTGGCTATATATATAAAAAGTAAAAACAAGTGATTTTTATGTGACAATGAGTTACTTTGTTGTTGTGACGCTAATGACCCAAACAGTGAAGCAGACATGATAATTCTTGCCCCCAAAATGGATTCAGATACACTATTTTGTCTACAATTTAACTAAATACAAAATGATTTTATAAGAGAATTGTGACCACTTCTGAATGAATGTCTTATAGCTATTTTTGAGATAAGGTGGGATGGCAAGGTTCTTGCTAAACTTCTGAGTTTTCTTTGAAGGTTTAATTCTACCGTCTTCCTCCTTGCTTTTCATGCTTTATGCTTGTTCAGGCACCTGCATTCGGGTTTAACTGCCAACATGACAAGCTGTACTACAAGTACGTCAGAAAGCATCATTTCAAATTCATCCTGACTCAGTGTCTATCAAATATGTGTAATTGGGGAGAATGGTTTTGACATTTACGAAGTCTCCATTCCTCCAGGTATTTGAACACCCACTTGAGGATTTGAGTAGAAAAGAAGAGAGCCGTGTTCTTAGGCCATTCAAATCTTCAAGGATGCTTCCCTTCACAGCCACCATGCCCATAGTAGATGCTTTTAAACTTAATTGTGTGTAAGTGTCAGAGACTTTATAAGAAGTGGCTTTGTTGATCACCTCACTTGTCACATTGATAGTGCCATGTCTATGAGGATCTTGAAAGAAATCCTGAAAAAACTTAGCATCTAGAGTATTTCTTCTGAGCAATTGGTCTCTTAGAGTCTTATGAAACAGGAATTTTCACAACTAATTTCCCTTTTACATTTTGGATGTTAGAAAGCTTTGCACCAAATTTATGTTCCATTGGTAGCAGGTTATTACCAACATATTGTATTAGACTACATCTGTCTGCACCTAATGCCTATAAACTTCCCCCTCTCAGCTGCTTTCAGTTGATGTTGTATATTCTTCTGGCCAGTAATTAACCCTTTCTCAAACTAGGTAAATGATAGCATTAGATGGTTGAAATAGTGAAAAGAAACAGGGGCTATAAAAACAATTCTTAATATAATCTATAACAATTCTATACTTATTGTAGGAGATCATGAAAGTTTGTTCTAAAATTGTCACTTAGCAATTTAGAAGAGACTATTTTGAGGTTTTAAAGGAAAAAATACCCAATACCCGCGATATTTTCATGATTTTCTTCCTCCATTTTTCTACGGAAGAGTAACAAGTACTTAAGAAAAATGAAATATTTGGTCATTCCTCTTTCTCTGCAATAGTGTTCAGTTGTTCTACAGTTTTTACTGAGCATGGATTTTCTTCCAAGTAGGCCCTAGGTACAGAGACATAAGAAAAAATATCCATGCTTTCATGAGATTATATTATAAGGGGGAGTGACAAAAAATAAAGAAATAGAGTTATTTTTGTCAATAAATGGGAGTTACATATATTAGCATGGCAGGCCTCTGTGATGAGGTAATGTTTGGCAGACAGCTAAGTAATGAGGCATTCATTAATGTGGCCATATAAAAGAAGAGTGCTCCTGTTACAAAGAGTAGCAATTGGCATAAGCTCTGGGGTAGAATTGTTTGGCATGTTTAAGAAACCTCCAGAGGTCTGGTTGGCTGAGGCACACTGAGCAAAAGAAGTGGTTGGAAATAAAATCAGCAAAGAATCAAGACTAAGTCACGCAATGCGAACTAGGCCATGGAAAGAACTGTTTTACTGTTTATATTTTTTAATGTGTTCTTATAAAGCCTTTTTATTCACATAAGTGAGATGTGAGCCACTGGAAGGTTTTTGACTAGGGATCTGATTCAATCAGATTACGTTTTAAAACAATCTGATTAGTGAATGGAGAAGAATCAGTAGTCAGCAAGTGTAGAACAAAGATACCAATTAGGAGGCTATTGCAAAGCAGAAATTAATGCTTCAGCTAGGCAGTAATAATGGAGATAATGAGAAACAATTGACTATGGGATATGTTTTAATTTCTGATGGATTAGATGTGAAGTGTAAAAGAAAAAGGAGTCAATGATGTATCAAATATTTTAGCCTGAAGAGCAGGTGAGTGAAAGCATGTTTACTAAGATGTGGAATACTGGGAGATGATCAGTTTGGAGAAGGGCCTAGTAAGGGTACATGGATTGATATGCTGATTTTGAAATAAATTTTAGGCATCTAACACGTTAGTCATTTGGCTAGATGAGTCTGTAGTTCAAGTGCTACATAACAATGAGATGTATTGGCATCTAGATGGCATATAAAATTACAGGACTGAATGATATATCTGCAGAGAAAAAGAACACATTTCAAAAACATAAATTTATCTTGCATATGTAGAAATATTATTCAGACACTGCTATTTCTTGTTAGTAATTTCAAGGAAAAAAGTTCTCATTTTCTCTAGGACAAAGAATGAGCTACTACTGTTATACACACAGACACACATACACACAGGCACACAGACACCTGTTCTCTAGAATGACTGTCATAAGATTGAAATATTATGATGTTTTAAGGCTCTTTTTTCTCCTTAATAGAGATGTACATTTCCTGAAATGGTAATTCTGAGAAATTGAGGAGATGAATGAATGAGATGAGCTTTACTTTTTTGCTCACCTACTGCAGTTTATGCCTCATTGAATACCTTTAATTTTCCCCCTATTCCTTCATCAAGCTCTTGAGTGGATCTTGAGAGAATGTGCTCTGACATATTTAAAACATCCTGAGACAGAATCCAACCTGTGATCATATCTCTTCAGTGTCCACAAGTCTCATAGTATCTTTTTTCCAGCTCATCTTTCTTGCTCCCTTGGCGTTTTGGATGATAAAGAACTAGCTCATAAATGTTTAACAGACAAGATAAGCTAATAAATACAGCTCTAAATACCATCCCCTTACAATAGCCAAATAATTATCTGTTCAGAAATAATTCCTTATGCCAACCCAGAAGAGCTCTGTAGAAGTCAAAATTAAAAATAAAATTTACATTTCAAATGAGATATTAGCAATTCTTCTGGCATTTAAATAACATATCTTGCTACTCATATCAATAGACTTTTAATGTCATACTAATCCATAAAATTGTCTTTATTAACCAATAAGTGTTTGCCCAAGGAAACCGATGATATCTTAATTTATAAATCCCTGAATGGCCATTGAATTAATCTATATTAATAATTTAGCTTTCTTTTTTTTTTTTTTTTTTTTGAGACGGAGTCTCGCTCTGTCGCCCAGCAGGCCGGACTGCAGACTGCAGTGGCGCAATCTCGGCTCACTGCAAGCTCCGCTTCCCGGGTTCACGCCATTCTCCTGCCTCAGCCTCCCGAGTAGCTGGGACTACAGGCGCCCGCCACCGCGCCCGGCTAATTTTTTGTATTTTTAGTAGAGACGGGGTTTCACCTTGTTAGCCAGGATGGTCTCGATCTCCTGACCTCATGATCCACCCGCCTCGGCCTCCCAAAGTGCTGGGATTACAGGCGTGAGCCACCGCGCCCGGCCAATAATTTAGCTTTCTAAGAAGTCTCAGTAGTTGAGATTTTAAGACCTGTAACCTTGATACCAAGTCATCATACATGTAATTAATTACCAAACAACCCACACATCCTCAATATGCTTTATCTATCATCATCGTCATCGTCATGAGAAAACATTAACTTTTTAATTATCTTGGTCATTATTTACTCTACTTTATATTGAAAAATTTTCCAGAATAGGAGGAGATAATTTTTGATAAATGAATTTTAAAAATAATAATAAATGTAGAGATGTATTTCAATTTATAGAATTTTGATGAAATCACCATACTGTTTTAATTAAGATGTGGATAGGAGGCATTATATCAAGGTAGTAGAAAAAGATTTGTTCTACTTCATGTGTTTTACTTGAAACATATTTTTCGTAAAATTTCTGTATGTCTTTATAACTGATAATATTGGCACACATTTCATGTTAGTTAATTAAACAAATTCTAAATATATATATTCCAATTTACGGTTTATTTTCCTTACTATAATTATGAAAGTAGAAAATGTTAAATCAAAATTCTTTTAGAATATTTAAAGTATGGACTTAATAAGGCTTAGTTAACATTAATTCATCAGTTTAAGAAAAAAGCTTTGAAAGTCTCCCGTGTGTACGTGTATATATGTGTGCTAACACGTTTCTTGATTTTACTCAATTTTTTAGTCTCCTTTCTGAGACAAGCGAGGAAAATTTAACCTTTTATAACCAAAAAATTGTTTAAAACTCAAATATAATTCATAATTCAAACCACCCAAGTGCCCTGCAGCTGCTAATCAGTAAAATGACTTTTCATATCATATCATATCACATAAAAATGGAAGGGCCAAGCATTTTATATCTAACAAACTCTACATAATTAAAAAGTAAGTCAACATTGTTTTTACTGTTCCAGAGGAGAAGAGAGAAACTCACCAGAATTAAATTCGACTGATATGATTTAAAATGTTTAAAAGTATATATTATTCTGGTAACAAAGATAATAAATGCATGCTTATTGAGGACAATGTGAAAATAAAGAAAAATAAAAGTAGATAATAAAATTCACATAACTCCTGCCACAAGTAACATTTTATTTTAAAGTACTAGAAAGTACTTTAAATATATGTACCACCAGATAATTCATTTATATCTTAGCTTTTTAACTTAGTATGATAGCATTGGGATTTTCCCCTGATGTCAGAATTTATTTATATTGCCCTATACATGATTATATTATAGATAAAAATGTGTCTTTGGTAATATTCACTTGATCATTCCTCTGTTGTTGAATATTTCTTACCAATATTGCTCACTTTGTTCACCTTTTAACACTGCCACCAGGGATATATTTTGTTAAGCCAAAAATCTTTTCAAGTTACTGCTCTCAAAATATTAAATGATTTTCCTTTAAGAGAAAGTCTAAACTTCTCAGTATAGCTCCACGTTTCTTCACAATCTGACTCTAGTTAGTCTCACACCAACAGGAAGACTTTAACGTCCAATAATATTGATGTTGGCTTCTTCCCAATAAAGCCTTTTTTTCTCATGCCTATAAGTTAGGACCCTCTCTTTGGCCCTCTTTTTTCTTTCTCCTCTTCCACACTCATTTCAAGTACAACCTCCTCTTTGAAAACTTTTTGACCACCCCCACCCCAAGTTGAGGTAGTTACCTCTCCCCTAAGCTTCCATGTTAGCTTGTATAAACTTGTAACTGATCCCCTATCATAACATATGGAAAACACCTGTTAGCTTATCTGTCTCCTGTTTAGATAGCAAGCAGCTTGGGGTTTAAGTGTGCATATTAGATTGATTTTTGCTTCAACAATGTGGCTTATTGCTTATAAATACATTTGTTAAATACAATTTAAAATCATAACATTTATTAAGAACTTTCCTATGTGCTAGAAGTTGCTGTAACTTTTTTGCATGTATTAAGGTAATTAAATCTTCACAACCTTATGAGAGAGGTATTATTATTTACCGTATTTTTAAATAGACGGATAAACTGAAATGTAGTGAGGTTAAGCAATGTGTTGACAGCTAGACATTTAGTAAATGTCAGAGCCATATTGTGAGGGCAGGCCCTCAAGAGCAGAAGCTTGTGCCCTTATTCTGGGCCAGATGTATTTTCTCCATCTACAGTGAATCCAAGGACAAGCATGAGATGTGACTTTAAAGCAAAATAACTAATTAAAACAGTGAGGACATATATCACTGCCTCGGCTTTATTTCCCTGAGTTTCAGAAAATTTGATTGTCAGGGGTAAATAATTTACCAATGTGCTATAGCTAGTTAGGATCATATCTGGGAAATATTAGTTTTCATTTCCCTAATTCTAATGTACTTTCCCACTAGATTAAGCTGAGTTAGTACTTCTTTTATGTCAAATTAAGATACAGTTTTGAAGAAAATATAATCATGAATCTAAAAGAACATAGAGTTATTGCTTTTATTTATTAAAAGCCAAATGTTATAAAAATGTGCAAAAGAGTCCAATCTTGACAAACAGGCTTAATTGTGAAAAATAAATACACCATGGTCCCTTCAGAAGAGCTGGATCTAGATACCTTTAAGTCCAAGTTGATTGGAGGCATGGCTTTTGTCTACAAAAAGATCATTATAAATATATCTTCATATGTTTTAAGAGATATATTTATAATGATATTTATGTAGACAAGATATATAAGCTATATCTCTTAAGATGTACATATTTTTAAAACTGAAAGACCTAAAACCAGAGAGGTAAAAAAGATGGTTCATGGTTTTATCGTTCTTCAATAAATATAGGGAAATTTGAGAAGTAAAATATTTTATATATTTTGAGTTGGTGGTAGGCCTGCGAAATTAACTGAACTAGAGAGACAGAATGGGTTAACCAAAACTTTATGTTTACAGCATGGAAGTTTGAAGATTACATTCTTAGTGAACAGTATGTTACTAGAGAATGCTTATCTATGGAATAATCTCCCCCGAATATCTCCTTTCATAACAAAAAAAAATGCCGCTAGAGAAGATAACATGATAGAAAAATTAGAGTGCAAACATAAAACTAGAAGGGACTTTTATCATCCAACTCCAGATATATGATTAAATCTGTTTCTTCCTAACTCAAGCTTTTCTGCACAATTTTTCTTTCTAAATATGACTAAGTCTATCTTTCTTTTCAATCTTTCTCCCTTGTTTTTTTAATATAGAATTCCTAAATGAGGCAAAATATCAGTCTACTGAGAATAATACTTTTCAGCTTCGTATTTTATAGTTAATTATGTTATGACTCATAGAAAAATTGATCCCAAGGTTCATCATTTTTCTTTTTCTAATTTCTCCTGTTCTGAAGCTGCCGTTCCACCACTTCCTCGTTAATGTAAACCAATAGTGGTCCTTGTTTGAAAGCACTTCATCAGAATTAGCCTCAAGTGAGTCAGCTGATGGAAGAAATAGTAATAAATGAACATGTGTCAAAGAGAGGGCTGTTGAGCAAAAAAAATTCAGTTACCTTCCAGCACAGACTACAGAACAATTTATTAAAGTGTCAGAAACAAACCTTTAAGGTAAAAAACAGCTGATACAAAATTCTCTGATTACCTAAAATGAATCTTTAATGAAGTAAATGAAAAAGAACAGTATTCCAACTGTGCTGTTTATCATTCAAAATTAATTGGATAATGGTTAATTTGAAAATATAATAATCTCTACTGAACTGACTGAATAGTGAATAAAATGAATTTTAAGGTTTATTTACACATAGTAAGACTTCAAAATAGATGTTAATTAATTATCATTTGCAAGTAGTTTTTAAAATGTTGCTATTGAAATCAGCTTGACAAAAACAAAGTCATGAAAAGCAAATAACTTATATTTTTATATTTCAAATTCACTAGTTTTTATAACTAAATTTTTTTAAAAACAGAACTCTGTTTTTACTCTATATCAAATAAAACCCTTTATCTACACTTAAAATTGTGTGGATTAAAAAATCAGATTGTCCTCTCTGTGTGTAGCTTATAAATTGTTAAGAAATCCCCATTAACATATCACAGAGAGGTTCAATTTGTGTGAAGCTAAATATTATTTGTGTAATTCTATCCAAGATGGATAAGCCACTTAAGCTTTATTTCCACCAATTAGCAATGAACTGGTCCAGGGAATACATAATTTAGGGATTTTATAGGGCAGTATATTAACTAGGTTGAGGCTACCCACATACCACACACTGATTTGTTGCAGAAAAAAAAAAAAAAGGAAGAATTTTTATGCTGCAACTAAATTTTTGACAGGGTAGATGAAGAAAGAGGATTCAAACAAATCATTACAGGCTGTCTTTTGTTTGTTTGTTTGCTCATCTGTCTTTCATTTTTCAGCCTGGTTTGATGCTGTAGGCAAAATAACTTCAATACTATGTAAAAATTTTTAACTCAATAATCCATTACCAAAGAAGGAAAATATTCCCTTTGAGGTCTTTTCCAGTCTTTAATTGTGGATTGTATGGATAGGCAAGAATAACAATGTCACAAAACTGTTTAATTATGGGAAGAATTTCTATAGCACAAGTGTGGCCTACAGTAATTAGAGAAGAGAATATAGATATGACATGCCTATCAATCTACTTGGATTTGTGTATATTTAATATTATTGCTATTAACAATTGATACCTCTTATTCCCTGTAAAAAAAACTCTACAAATTACACAACATTCTTTCTGTCAAATATTTTAGAAATATTGATATAATCATTCTAAAAAAATCCATATAACATTCAGCTATTTCTAGTATCTATGCAACAAAAACAATTGGATAAACATTGTCAAAAATAAGTTTCAGGCATAAAAACACACATTTTTATTCTTCTTTCTATTCTATGACTTTTAAGCAATCTGGTATCATAAGCAAATAAAGAGAACATGTATTATTGGTGCTAAAATTATTTTGTTAGTTTAGGTTATTAATGAGAATAATATCAATTACATTACTAATAATAACGTATAATTCTAGAGTAAAAGAACAAGAATATCGTGTAAAATTTTCTCTTTCTGTACCTTGCTTATCATTCTGATGTTTCAAATTTCTTCACATTTTTGATAATTATTCTGTTAGTTGTGAAAGGAAAAATGAATGAGAAATTTATGATGTATGTGGTAGTTAAAAAATGTATATTGCTTGAGTGGGAAATAGTGATTATTTCATGGTCAAAAATACTGCCACTAAGAGATAATTAATATGGAAAAGGATAGCACTTTATGAATTGAGAGATCACTTTCATACTTCTTACCCTTTTTTCTAATAACTGCATTAATGAAAGGGCAAACTTTTTTACATGTAAGTCAATATTATTGTGAAAGGCATGTGACATCAGGGCTAACATTTTTAAAAGCTTGAATATAATAGGTATATAATGACAACCTCAAAGAAATCCCAAACTAAGCCTTGCAGAATTTTATTCATTCAATTGGCTTCTACTTTTGATATCTATAACTGAAGTAAAAATTCCTATGCATGTCAAAAATCTAGAGATTACCAGATATTGGAGGTTTAAAAATAAGAAGCCAGAGTTCAGATCACAAGTGATTCACTATTAAAAATAGTGCCTATGTTGCTTTTTCTTTATTTCTCCTTTATTTTTCTTTATTGTAAATCAATCCAGAGACTTACAGTTTCTGGTCTAGCATTTAAGGACCTTGGCAGTCGCAACTCCATTCTAACAATTACAAAGCTGAACAAACTAAACAATCAACAACTTTTGTTAGAGCTCTAGGAGAAGTGAAGTCACAGGGCATACCTCTGCCCTCAAAATTGGAGCTAGAAATGCAAATACAAATAATTACAACTTACTGGAACAGAAACCTCCCAAGCAGAAATCTCCGTGGGAATCAGTGCTCAGGTAGGAAAAACTGAACTGTACTTGACAAATTGCTACAGGCTCAGTAGACAAGTCTGAAATTCAGAAACTCCAGGGAAACCCAGTCATAAGGCCCCCCACACTTCTGTAACTTTTACCTCCAGAAGCTTGACCAGGTTTTTACAGTGAATACTGGAGAAAAATAATTCTCTCTGCTATCTTCAGTGGGAGAGGAAAAGTAATTATTTTGAAATATGGCAGAGAATCTGTTTTTCTTAACAAGTTCTGTCCTCGAGAGAAAATATTTAACTAGCCTAACCTGAAGGGGGCTTATTGGAACTTATTTACAGTAGTTCCTTTTATCCAGTAATCATATCTGGCTGCCAAGAAAAAATTACGAAGCATACAAGGCATACTAAAAGGCAGAAAACACAGTTTCAAAATCAATCATCAGAACAAGGTTCAGAGATGGCAGGGATGTGGAAATTTCAGAACAATAGTTTTAGACAACTGTAACATGCTAAGGAATCTACCAGTTAAACTAGGCAGCAAGCAAGAACATATAGGCAATGTAAATAGATGTAATGTTGTAGAATATAAGAGATGGAAATTCTAAGAAAAATCAAAAAGAAATGCTGAAGACCAAAAACACTGTAACAAAAATGAAGAATTCTCTTGATGGGCTCATGAGTAGCTTGGATGCAGCTAAGGGGAAAATCTCTGAGCTTGAAAATATCTCAGTAAAATCTTCAAAACTAAAAAGCCAAGAAAAAAAGAGACTGAAAAGAAAAATCCAGAATATCCAAGAACTACGGAATAAATACCAAAAGTGTAATCATGGTTAATGAAAATATCAAAAAGAGAGAAAGAGAGAAACGAAGAGAATAAGTATTTGAAGCAATTAT
Source organism: Homo sapiens (assembly GCF_000001405.40). Classification (NCBI taxonomy): domain Eukaryota; kingdom Metazoa; phylum Chordata; class Mammalia; order Primates; family Hominidae; genus Homo; species Homo sapiens. Next base: position 114,902,635 of record NC_000004.12, on the reverse strand, counting down.
GACAGATAATTTCCGCAAATTAATGTCAAACACCAAACCAGAGATCCAGGAACCTCAGAGAATATCAAGGAGGATAAATCTCCCCCAAAATTACACCTACGCACATCATATTCAAACTACAAAAAACAAAATTTAAAAAATTCTGAAATAAGTTATAGGGGGAAACAGAGGAGCAAAGATAAGAATTACATTTGATTTCTCTTCAGAAAACATGCAAGCAAGGAGAGAACAAAGTGAAATATCTAAAATGTTCAGACAAAAAGCACCAACCTATAATTCTGTACTGTGAGAAATATCCTTTAACTATGAAGAAGAAATAAAGACTTTGTTAGAAAAGCAAAAATGGAGGGAATTTGTTGCCAGTGACTTGCCTTACTAGACATGTGCGAAAAAATTTTTTTAAACAGAAGGAAAATAATGCAGGTCATAAACTTGATTCTACATAAAGAAATGAACATAATTTGAGAAAAAAATAAGTGTGTAAAATTAAAATGTATTTTTCAATTCTTAGTTAATCTAACACATAACAGTTGGTCCAAAATAATGATAGCAACAAAGTATTTAGTCATATATGTAATCATATTTGTATGTTTCATATATGTGTCACATATGTATGCTTACATATAAGTCTAGTAAATGACTGAAATAACACAAACATTGGAAGGAGAAATTAGGATTTCTTTTCTTAAAAGATATTTGCACTACGCATGAAGCAGTATAATGCTATTTGCAAATGGACTTGGATTAATTGTAAATGTATATTGGAAACTCTATTACAGTCACTAAAAAAATGAAGAAGAAGAAAAAAGGAAGAAGAAAAGAAGAGAAGGAGTGGAAGGGGGAGGAAAAATGCTATAAGAGAGAAAATACAATGATATGCAATGCTTAACTAAAACCAGAAAAGGCAAAAAAAAAATTGAAAGACAAAAATAGAAACAAAGAAAATAGGTAACACAAAGCATTACTAATATGGCACATATTATTTTGGCTATATCAGTGATCACATTAAATTTCAATAGTCTAAGTACATCAAGTAGAAGATAGAGATTGTCAGAGTGGATAAAAAAACAAGCCCCAACTATATGTCGTCTACAAGAAATTCACTTCAAATATAAAGACGCATATAGATTAAAAATAAATAAACGGAGAAAGATAAATCATTCTAACACTAGTCAAAAGAATGTGGCAGTAGATATATTAACTTCAGACAGAGCAGGCTTCAGAACAAAGAAAGTTATTCAGGGATTACAAGGGGCATTAAATAATAAAATAGTGATTAATTTTTTAAGAAGACATAACAATTTTTAGTATGTATGTGCAAATACTGAAGGCAAAAACGATAGAACTTCAAAGAGAAATAGATTAATCCAGTATTGTAATTGAAAATTTAACACCCAACTATCAGAAATGGACAGATTCATCAGGGAGAAAAGCAGTAAAGACATAGTTGAGCTCAACTACACCATCAGTCAAATGGATATAATGGACATCTATAGGACTACGTCATCAAACAACAGCATAATACACCGTCTTCTCAAGGTTGCATGGAACAGTAACCAAGATAGGTCACATTCTGGGGCATAAAACACACCGTACAGAATTTAAGGAAAAAAAAAAATCATATAGTGTCTGATCTCAGACTATAGTGGAATTAAACTAGAAATCAATAATAGAAAGATAGCTAGAAAACCCCAAAATGTTTGGAGATTAACAACACACTTCTCAATAACACATGGGTCAAAGAAGAAATTTCAAGAAAAATTTTAAAAGATTTTGAAGTAAAAGAAAATGAGAACACAGCTTGTCAAAATTTGTGAGATGCAGCAAAAGCAGTGCTTATAAGAAAATCTATATCACTGAATGCATGTACAGTCATGTATAACAATGACGGGGATACATTGTGAGAAATGCATCTTTAGGTAATTTTGTGTGAATGTTATAGAATGTATCTTCACAAACTTATATGGTCTAGCCTACTAAACACCTAAGCTATATAGTTCAGTCTATTGCTCCTATGCTACAAACCTACACAGCATATTGCTGAGCTGAATACTGTAGGCAATTGTAACACAGTGGTTGGTATTTGTGTATCTAAGCATATCTAAACATAGAAAAGGTACAGTAAAAATATGGTATTATAATCACAGGGACCATCCTTGTATACATAGTCCATTGTTGACTAAAACACTGTTATGTAGTCCATTACTGTTTTAGAAAAAAATGATCTAGAATCAATCTAAGCTTCTACCTTAAAAAACTAGAAAATTTAAAGTAATCAAAAGAAACAATAAAAATTAGAGCTGAAATCAATGAAATTGTAAACCGAAAATCAGTAGAGAAAATCAAGAAACCAAAAGCTGGTTCTCTAAAATGATCAATAAGAGTAATACGCCTATAGTTACGCTGAGAAAAAAAAAGAGAGGATTCAAATGGCTAGTATCAGAAATTAAAGAGGGGACATCATTTCAGACACCATGGACATTGTAAGGATAATAAAGAAATACTATGAACAACTCCATGTCTACATATTTGATAACATAAGTAAAATGGGGCAGTTCTTTGAAAGACCAAATCTGCCAAAACTCACACAAGAAGAAGTAAACAATCTTATTAGGATTATATCTATTAAAGAAATTCAGTCAATAATTACCTTCCAAAACAAAGATCACTAGGCCAAGTGGGTTCACTGGTGAATTCTAACAAACATTTAAGGAAAAAAATCACAGCAATTCTCTACAATCCCTTTTAGAAGATAGAAGCAGAGGGAGTACTTTCTAATTCATTTAATAAGGCCATCATTTTCCTAGTAGTACCAAAACCAGAAAAAGACATTCCAAAAAACAAAAACTACAGACCAATATATCTTATGAACAAAGATGTAAAAATTATCAGCAAAATATTAGGAAATTAAATCCAACAATGTATAAAAAGACCATGATCCAGTGGAATTTATTTCAAGTATGCAATGCTGGCTCATCATTGGAAAACTGATTAATGTGATCCATCATACCAACAGGCTAAAGAAGAAAGATCACACCATATTAGTAGACGTAAATAAAAGAATTTGGAAAAATCCATCTCCCATTCATGATTAAAAAAAAAAACTTTCAGTAAACTAGGAATAGATTGAGACTTTCTCAACTTAATATAAAAAATCTAGGCTGGGCGTGGTGTCTCACGCTTGTAATCCCAGCATTTTGGGAGGCCGAGGTGGGTGGATCATGAAGTCAGGAGATCCAGACCATCCTGGCTAACCTGGTGAAACCCTGTCTATACTAAAAATAAAAAAAATTAGCCTGGCGTGGTGGCACAGGCCTGTAGTCCCAGCTACTCAGGAGGCTGAGGCAGGAGAATGCCTTGAACCTGGGAGGCGGAGGTTGCAGTGAGCCCAGATTGTGCCACTGCACTCCAGCCTGGGTGACAGAACGAGGCTCCATCTAAAAACAAAAACAAAAACAAAAAACGATAAAAATCTGTAGCTAACATCATACTTAATGTTGAGAAACTGGAAGCTTTCCAACTAAAATCAGGAATCAGGAAGAAGGCAAGGATGTCCCATCTCACCACACTCTTTGAACATTGTACTAGAAAACCTAGCTCAGCCAATACGACAAAGAAAGGAAACGAAAGGTATACTGATTGGGAAGGAAAAATAAAACTGTCTTTGTTTGCAGGTGACATGATTGTCTATGTAAAACATCTGAGATAATTGACAAAAAAAAACCCTCCTGGAAATAATAAGTGAATATAGGTCACAAGGTACAAAGTTAATATACAAAAGTCAATTGCTTCCCTTTATACCAGCAATAAACAAATGGAATTTGAAAAAAAATACTATTTACATTAGCACCCTGAAAATGAAATATTTAGGTATAATTCTAATAAGTGCAAAATTTACGTGAGGAAAACTATGCAACTCTGATAAAATAAGTCAAAGAATAACTAAATTAATGGAGAATTATTCCATGTTTGTGTATAGGAAGACTCAATATTACCAAGATGCCAGTTCCTCCCAACTTGATTCGGCACAATCCCAATTAAAATCCCCAAAAGTGGTTTGTGAGTAATAGCAAACTGATTTTAAAGTTTATACGAGGAGGCAAAAAGACCCACAAAATATTGAAGGAGGAGGAATAAGTTGAAGCACGGACACTACCCGACTTCAAGGGATAGTATAAAGCTACAGGTATCAAATACAGTGTGCTAATGAAACAACAGACAAATAGATCAATGGAAGATAGTAGAAAATCCAGAAAGAGACATTCATAAATATAGTTAGCTGATCTTTGACAAAGAAGAAAAGGCAAAACATTGAAAAAAATATAATCTTTTCAATAACTGGTGCTGGAGCAACTGCACATCAAATAAAAAAATAAATAAATCTAGACACCTTATATCCTTCACAAAAATTAACCCAAAATAGATCATAGACCTACCTAAATTTAAGACCTAAAACTATAAAACTCCTAGAAGATAGCATGGTTAAAAACGTAGATGACCTTGGGTATGCCAATAACTTTTTAGCTACACCACCAAAGGCATGATTCATGAAAGAAATAATTGATGAGCTGGACTCCATTAAAATTAAAAACTACTATGCGAAATACAGCATCAAAAGAATGAGAAGATGAGCCACAGACTGGGAGTAAATATTTGCAAAGGGCACATCAAATATACGACTGTTACCTATTACAAAGATTTCTTAAAACTCCACAATAAAGAAACAACCAGATTTTAAAAATTGGCTGAAGACCTTACCAGACACCTCAACAAAGAAGATATACAGATGGCAAATAAGAATATGAAGAAACGTTCCACATCATGTCATCAGGGAAATGCAGGTTAATACCACTAAAAACCTATTACAATTACCCATATATCAAACACTGACAATACCAAATGCTGGTGAGGATGTGGACCCACATGAACTCTCATTCATTGCTGGTGGGAATGGAAAATGGTATAGCTGATTGGAAAACAGTGTATTTGTTTCTTATGAAACTAAACATACAGTTGCCATAAGACCCAGCAATCATGCTGCTTGATATTTACCAGTGAAAGCTGAAAATTTTTGTCCACACAAAATTGTGCACACCAATGTTTACAGTAGCTTTATTCACAATTGCCAAATCTTGGAAGAAACAAGATATTCTTCAATAGGTGGATAGTGAAATATACTGTGGTAAATAAAGACAGTAAAATATTATTAAGTGCCAAAAAGAAATGAGTTATCAAACCATGAAAAGACATGGAAGAAACTTAAATGTATATTATTAAGTGAAAGAAGTCAATCTTAAATGGCTGTATGATTTTCAACTATATGACATTCTGGAAAAGGTTAAAACTATAGAGACAGCAAAAAGATCAATGCCTGCCAGGGGTTAGAGGGAAGATAGGGATGAAAAGGTGGAGTAAAGAAGATTTTTAGGGCTCCAGAACTATTATGTATACTATAATAGTAGATGCATGCCATTATACATCTGTCTAAATCTATATAATGTACCACACCATGAATGAAACCTAATGTAAACTATCTGTGGACTCTGGGTAATAATGATGTGTCAATGTAAGCTCATCAGTCATAAAAATTGTACCACTCTCATAGGGGATATTGATAATGGGATAGTCTATGCAAATGTGGGGTCAGAAGATTTAAGGGAAATCTCTGTACCTGCCACTCAATTATGCTCTGAACCGAAAATTGATCTAAACAATAGTCTACTAAGAAATAATAATAAGGAAGAAAGAAAGTTTGAGTTGTACATGGTTGACTTCTGGGAAACATAAAGAGAAGGTGACAAAATCATAAATGTTTAAAAACATGCAAACAGAAAAAAACAAGTATAGTGATACTAAAATTACCATGTAAAATAGCTGCTGGCTTGTGTTTTCTTGCAAAGAATTTTCATGCAATGTGAACATCTCATATATAGACAAGGTTGATTTCTAGAATAATATGTGTTCTTCTAAAATGCAGTATTTTACCCAAAGCAAATTTTTTTTTTTTTTTTTTGAGACGGAGTCTCACTCTGTCACTAGACTGGAGTGCAGTGGCGCAATCTTGGCTCACTGCAACCTCCGCCTCCTGAGTTGGAGTGATTCTCCTGCCTCAGCCTCCCAAGTAGCTGGGACTACAGGCGGCCGACACCACACCCGGCTAATTTTTTGCATTTTTTAGTAGAGACGGGGTTTCACCATGTTAGCCAGGATGGTCTCAATCTCTTGACCTCGTGATCCACCCACCTCGGCCTCCCAAAGTGCTGGGATTACAGGCGTGAGCCACCGTGCCCGGCCCAAAAGCAAATAATTTAACAGCAGGTGATGATACCTTCACCCTCACTCAAAAGGCCATAATAATAATAAGTAATAATAATATAAAACTACACTAATCAATGTGCTTTTTTCAGCCTCTACTAAAAGAAATACAGATGAATGATCTCAAAGATTGAGTCCAATGTTTAGAGACTGATGTTCATAATTGTCAATGGCTAAATGGTATCAAAGCCTCTAATTCCCAGAAAAATTCATACCATAATCCCATGAATGTGAATATATGGAGAATTTTGATATTACTTAATATTTTGTATTAGAATCACATTCTTTAGGCTTTATTTAGGTTTTAAATACAAGATACTTTATTCTTAAGGCAAATCTGTTAGGCAAGCTTGATCATTTTGAAAATTAGGAAGCATGTTGTTTTTGTCTTTGGTTCTATTTATGTGATGGGTTACATTTATTGATTTGCATATATTGAACCAGGCTTGCATCCCAGGGATGAAGCCAACTTGATCGTGGTGGATAAGCTTTTTTTTTTAATTATATTTTAAGTTTTAGGGTACATGTGCACAATGTGCAGGTTAGTTATATATGTGCTGCTGGATTCGGTTTGCCTGTATTTTATTGAGGATTTTCACATCAATGTTCATCAGGGATATTGGCCTGAAGTTTTCCTTTTTTGTGTGTCTCTTCTCGATTTTGGTATCAGGATGATGCTGGCTTCTAAAATGAGTTAAGGAGGAGTCCCTCCTTTTAAATTGTTTAGAACAGTTTCAGAAGGAATGGTACCAGTTCCTCTTTGTAGTTCTGGTAGAATTCAGCTGTGAATCCCTCTGGTCCTGGGCTTTCATTTGGTTGGTAGGCTATTAATTACTGCCCCAATTTCAGAGCTTGTTATTGGTCTATTCAGGGATTCAACTTCTTCCTGGTTTAGTCTTGGTAGGGTGTATGCCTCCAGGAATGTATTCATTTCTTCTAGATTTTCTAGTTTATTTGCATAGATGTGTTTATAGTATTCTCTGATGGTAGTTTGTATTCCTGTGGGGTCAGTGGTGATATCCCCTTTATTATTTTCAATTGTGTCTATTTGATTCTTCTCTCTCTTCTTCTTTCTTAGTATAGCCAGTGGTCTATTTTGTTAATTTTTTTCAAAAACCCAGCTCCTGGATTCGTTGATTTTCTTGGATGGTTTTTCAAGTCTCTATCTCCTTTAATTCTTCTCTGATCTTAGTTATTTCTTGTTTCTGCTAGCTTTTGGATTAGTTTGATCTTGCTTCTCTAGCTCTTTTAACTGTGAATTTAGGGTATTGATTTGAGAGCTTTCTAGCTTTCTGATGTGGGCATTTAGTGCTATAAATTTCCCTCTTAACACTGATGCAGAAAATGCCTTTGATAAAATTCAACACCCCTTCATGTTAAAAACTCTCAATAAACTAGGTATTGATGGAACACATCTCAAAATAATAAGCACTGTTTATGACAAACCCACAGCCAATATCATACTGAATGGGTAAAAGGTGAACGCATTCCCTTTAAAAACCGGTAAAAGACAAGGATGCCCTCTCTCACCACTCCTATTTAACATAGTATTGGAAGTTCGGTCCAGGGCAATCAGGCAAGAGGAAGACATAAAGCCTATTCAAATAGGAAGAGAGGAAGTCAGGTTGTCTCTGTTTGCAGATGACATGATTGTGTATTTAGGAAACCTCATCATCTCAGCCCAAAAGTTTCTTGAACTGATAAGCAACTTCAGCAAAGTCTCAGGATACAAAATCAATGTGCAAAAAATCACAAGCATTCCTTTACAGCAACAATAGGCAAACAGAGAGCAAAATCTTGAATGAACTCGCATTCACAATTGCTACAAAGAGAATAAAATACCTAGGAATACAGCTAACAAGAGATGTAATGACCTCTTCAAAGAGAACTACAAAACATTGCTCAAAGAAATAAGAGAGGACACAAACAAATGGAAACACATTCCATACTCATGGATATGAAGAATCAATGTCATGAAAATGGCCAAACTGCCCAAAGTAATTTATAGATTCAATGCTATTCTCAGCAAACTACCATTGACATTGTTCACATAATTAGAAAAAAACTATTTTAAATTTCATATGGAATGAAGGAAGACCCCAAATAGACAAGACAATCTTAAGCAAAAAGAACAAAGCTGGAGGCATCATGCTACCTGACTTCAGACTATACTACAAGGCTACAGTAACAAAAACAGCATGGTACTAGTATTATAACATACATATAGATCAATGGAGCAGAACAGAGACCTCATAAATAACACTACTCATCTACAACCATCTGATCTTCAACAAACCTGACAAAAACAAGCAATGGGGAAAGGATCTCTTATTCAGTAAATGGTGCTGGGAAAACTGGCTAGCCATACGCAGAAAACTGAAACTGGACCCCTTCCTTACACCTTACACAAAAATTAACTCAAGATGAATTAAAGACTTAAATATAAAACCCAAAATCATAAAACCCTAGAAGAAAACCTAGGCAATACCACTCAGGACATAGGCATGGGCAAAGACTTCTGACTAAAATGCCAAAAGCAAATGCAACAAAAGCCAAAATTGACAAATGAGAGCTAATTAAACTAAAGAGCTTCTGGACAGCAAAAGAAACTATCATCAGAGTGAATAGGCAACCTAAAGAAGGGGACAAAATGTTTGCAATCTACCCATATGACAGAGGTCTAATATCCAGAATTTACAAGGAACTTAAACACATTTACAAGAAAAAAAAAACACATCAGAAAGTGGACAAAGGATCTGAACAGACACTTCTCAAAAGAAGACATTTATGCAGCCAACAAACATATGAAAAAAAGATCAACATCACTGATCATCAGAGAAATGCAAATCAAAACCACAATGAGAAACCATCGCATGCCAGTCAGAATGGCAATTATTAAAAAGTCAGGAAACAATAGACACTGGCAAGGCTTTGGAGAAATAGGAATGCTTTTACACTGTTGGTGGGAATGTAAATTAGTTCAACCATTGTGGAAGACAGTATGGCGATTCCTCAAGGATCTAGAACCAGAAATACCATTTGACCCAGCAATCCCATTACTGGATATATACCCAAAGGAATATAAATCATTCTATCATAAGGACACATGCACATGTATGTTTATTGCAGCACTATTTGCAATAGCAAAGACATGGAACCAACCCAAATGCCCATCAATGATATACTGGATAAAGGAAATGTGCTACATATACACCATGGAATACTATGCAGCCATAAAAAGGAATGAGATCATGTCCTCTGCAGGGACATGGATGAAGATGGAAACCATCATCCTCAGCAAACTAACACAGGAACAGAAAACCAAACACACCATGTTCTCACTCACAAACAGGAGTCAAATATTGAGAACACGTGGACACAGAGAGGGGAACAATACACACCAGGGACTGTTGAGGGGTGAAGGGAAGGAACTTAGAGAATGAGTCAATAGGTACAGCAAACCACCAAAGCACATGTACACCAATGTAACAAATTGCATGTTCTGCAAATGTACCCCTTTTTTAAGAAGAAGAAATAAATAAATAAATAAACTATGACTGCCCTCCCAACTCCCACCCCCACAAAAAAAAAAGAAAATTAGGAAGTAGATAGAGACACATTTCAGCATTTCAGCAGATACAGTTCCTTCTTGGGCCCCTCTTATCTCCGGTATACCCATTTCTAACTCAATGCACACACACACAAATAATTAATGAGTTAGTTGTGAGAGGCACAATGTATGTGAAATAGTTTGCTTGTATTATGGTAAAAACTTAAGTGGTAGGGATGTGAAATAAGACATCTTTGATGGTCAGAAGTATTGGCTACTTAGGTAAAATTTGTATGTAAAAGAAAGATAACATTTTACATTTCTTAAAAAAGAAGTTGAGACAACTTGCACAAATAGATACTACGGCTAATAGAAACAATTTTTATTTACTTTTCTGCATGCACAGTATATATCAAAGCACAAAATGTTAAAAACAATTAGTGTAGAAAAATATAAGCAAGCTAAAAGCACAAAGTAAATTATTTACAATACATCCAAGTATAAATAATGTACATGGTATGTATTACCAACTCTTAAATTCCATAAATAAATATTGAGTGATTATAAATATCAGTATGCTGGGGAATTTATAAGGATAGGTAAAACTCAATTGTACTTTCAAGGAGCTTCCAATTCAATAGGAAAAATATTAGGTTACACCTGGTAAAATTTTCTATTTTCTACAATTTTTGTCCTACAAAATGGCAATTTTATACGGTTCATCTAATAAAACAAAAATCCCAAAACAGTGTGTATGGTGCAGCCACTAAGAGAAGAGTGAAGTGCTACAATTATTCATAAGTTGGTCTTGAAGGTATAGAATTTCCAAAAGTAAAATTGGAAATGTGATCACACAGACAAGAGCATGTGTAAGGTGTAAAGAATGTTATGTTTGAAGGATGGCAATAGAATGCTTTTGTATCAAAGAGTCAACACCTGGAACTCAAGGTTAAGGTTAGACCATGAAGGGCCTCAAATAGTTTTGAAGCAACCTCAGCTTTAACGAGAAAGTACTGAAAGCAGTGAACATTTCTGTCGGAGAAAGGCAGAGATAAGCTTGACTGTGATTAATGCAGTGTTTGGTGCTGAATGAAGTTCTAGAACAAAGATGGAAGTTGAGACCAATCAGAAGATTCCTGCAGTATAGCTAAAGAGATATTAAAAAGACTCTGTATTAGAATGATGGAAATACAAATAAAGAAGGAAGAAATTACGGCAAGAAAAATGGTAGGGTAGAATCAAAAGGACTGGTAACTGACAGGGCATCGAGAACAAGGGAAAGCAATGAGTAAAACAAAGATTCTGAACTGGCTGATCTGGTGGAGGAGTTGGTTTGGGAAGAAAACCAAGAAATTGAGAAGAATGTGAAATGATCTAAAGATATTCAGTCAGAGAGGTCTACATTTCAGATTGCAAATGTAGCACTAAAATTTTTAGCCTTGAAGGTAGTTGTGAGTACTTTAAGACAGGAATGGAAGCTAAGACCTTTAATAATATTAGAAGAGGATATTGTATAAAAAAATAAAAGGAAAATGTTATATGTAGAACTCAGAGGACTTTTCAGGTGAAGAGAAGAATCAATAAAGGAGAAACAAAGTGTGAACTGAGAGTTTATTATCACTTGTGGCAGACAAACACTGCAAGGACAAAGGAAAAGTCATCATTGTCAAATGGGGTTGAAGTGTCAAGTAGGATGAATCCCTCAAAATTTAGTAACTAGGAAGTCATTAGTGACTTTCAAAAGAGGAGGGTGTTTCGGTGTAGAGGTCAAACCCAAAGCCAAATACAAAAGAACTAATGAGTCAGTTCCTGGGGAAAACATGAAGCAATTTGAAGAAATCAGTCAGGGGGAGGTAGCAGAAAGTTTGCATAACAGCTCCAGGGCATAAGTGAATTTTAGCCAATTTTAGCATAAAGAGACTATATGATTGTAGGCAAAGTGATAGTGGAGAGGCAGGAGAATAAATTTGTGCCTATCTTAAGAAAGGAGCAGGGAATGGTTAATTAATAGGAAAAATTCTCTGAGGACAAATGAGAGTACCACTCGAACACAGAGGATTAACCTTGAGTACACTGTTCTATTCTGAAGAAGCAGGAAAAGAGAGAGAGAGGATAAAGTTAGAGTTTGGGCATACTGGGAAAGCACTTGCAGAAATCTCTAACTATTGCTTAGCACTGCTTCCTATACTAAGATTGGAATAACAACTGTTACTTCTGTGGAAGGAAAGCTTATGCAGTATAGTCAATCTCCATATATTTAGTGAAAATATTATTGATAATGACATGAGAAAAAAAGGTGTTTAGAGATTTGTCCTAGAGTATTTCCTATAAAGGAGTAAGGCAATTCTATATGCAAGACTTTGTGCCTTAATGAAGTTTTAATAACATGCCCTTGACCACCTGTTATTATTTATTTAAAGTTGCTCTAATATTTTATTTATATTCTTAATTTACTTATAGTCATCGTGATAACTATAATTGCATTAGATTTATAAATATCCTTATTCTCCAAAATACAACCTGGAAAATGGTACAAATGTGGAGTCTACAAAAAAAGATGTCAAGAGACTTTATAAAACAGAGCTTTCCATTGTTAACTACTCAAAATTGTTAACTACTAACAATTTCCATTGTTAACTACTAACAATTTCCATGGTTAACTACTCAAAATTTGTACACATGCATTAAAATAATGAAAATACCTATCCATGGGTAAAATAAAAATTTGGAGTGATATAAAGCATTGGGGTTTCCAAAGAATAGCTTGAGAAAGGCACCAAGATTTTTTCAGGCCCAACTTTGTCCCTTCGTGCGAATATATTATACCTTCGAAAACACATTTTTTGTATTCATTGTGAACCAAGTACTTTCCTGCTCACAGCAGAGAGTTATGACTGTATCATTTTCCCCAGTTTACAGATGGAGTCTCTGAGGCTCTGGGAAAATAAAAAAATTCCCCATAGCCAACAGTTAGAAAACGATGAAGCCCGAAGTTAGACACAGGTGCATCTAATATTAAGCTCTGTGCTTTTTCTCCCCCCAGTCAAGGCTGTCTCCCTGAAAGGCGCAGCTGCTTTATTTGAAGACAGCCCATAATGTTTCTGAAAGAAGCTTATGATTGATGTTTGCTTTGACATTTTCTAAAAATCTTTGTAAAGTTCCATAAGGATTATCAACTTTGCTGCACCTTTGCTGAATCAAAGTTTTGTGCTTTGTTCCAAATATGGCTTAACCTCAAACACTTTATTACCTAATGTGAACACAAGTTTTATTATCTCCGCCAAAGTGTTCATGTTCAGCACAGACTTTATGATCATGGTCTTCTGATTACTTTACTTAATATATTCTTCAAGGTCATCTTCAGTCTACTCTCCACTTCTTCGTTTGACATCTCTTTAATATTTGATAAGCAATAACCAGTTATATAATTTGTATATTCATCACCTGTCTAGAGTAAGTGGGATCAAAATCCACTAAATGTAAAATGCACTAAAATGAACAATTCACACGTATCTTGGGAAGGCAGTCTGAAAGAATATCCCTGTTTTCCAAAAACAGAATTATGAATTAAGTATTTAACTTGGTAGCAAAGTAGGCAGCTTTTCTTTTGCTCAAACACATGTGCTTTTGTAAAATATAAAAATTTGGTTTGGAAATACATATGTGTATATTTTATACCATCAAGGAAGTAGTCATTTGAGAAAGCATGATAATATCTAGTGTTGCTACATATATGTGTGAGGAACTGATAGCTGGCAGGGATGTATGGATGAGAACCTGGAGGTAGAAATAACCTTTAAAAAAATAAGAAGAAATAAGGGAAAGTAAAGATAAAATGCAAATATATTAGTGTTCTGATTCCCAAAACATCAAAAAAGTGAAATAAGAAAAAAAATGAGAATGACTATGTGATTAAAATCCACTACCTATTGTAGGATCCCATGGTCTCAACCGAAGAAATGCTGATACCGTATTTCTTATGGCCAGAGTCATGGGCTACTCATTGAACTGATGCAAGCAGTGACAAAGACAACAAAATTAAAGAGGTGGGATAAAATTTGTATCAAGTATAAGAAATAACTTATGGATTAACAAGGAGAAATTAAAAAATGATGCAGTGTACTTAGAACTATGGTTAAGAACCTGAGCTTTGGAATCTCAAACTCCTGTGTTGTAAGCCTGATGCGTTACTCTAAGTTATGCAATTTCTCTGAGTTTTAACTTCTTTACCAGTTCATTCGTTAAATGAGCATTATAAGGCAGTCGCAAAGACTAGCATATAAGAGCTACTTTGGGAGTGCTAGCGAATTGACATTTTTAAACTTCACTTGTCCTTTTCATCAGTAACCAGGTAAATAAATGCCTTTAAGCTTGAGCCATGCTGAATGAGCAGGTTGAAACTAAACTGTTTATACTTCTCAGGTGTATCATTTCTCCCTGGAATTTTATCACTTGTAGTAAGGTTTAGTTACATTCTAAGATGAGTTCTTGAAGAAATGCACAAAGGCAAGGTATCAATAAATATATATATATATTTTAATTAAATTAAATTATTTATTTATTTATTTTGAGATAGAGTCTCCTTCTGCCACCAAGCTGGGGTGCAGTGGCACCATCTCGGCTCATTGCAACCTCTGCCCCTAGGTTCAAGTGATTCTCCTGCCTCAGCCTCCTGAGTAGCTGGGATTGCAGGCCTGTGCCACCACACCCAGCTAGTTTTTTGTATTTTTAGTAGAGTCAGGGTTTCGCCAAGTTGGCCAGGCTGGTCTCAGACTCCTGACCTCAAGTGATCCTCACACCTTAGCATCTCAAAGGTATCAATATTTAAATGCAAAAATTATAAGGCCTATTAGGACAACTAATTTGATAAGAAGAATCTATCTCCTTTTATCTATCATTAAAGACAGTGAAGAAAAACCTGAAATTATCTAGTGACAACAAAGTGGAAAATTGGTGAGTAAATGTCCCCTTCTCCTGCTTACCAGTAGTCTAAAGGGTGAAAAAGTTAAGTTGCATGGGGAAAGCAAACTCTATTTTAATAAATAAATTGAATGTGCTCCAGATGAGCAGATGTATTAACTAACATTTAAAGGATTTTAAATGCCAAATTACTTTAAGCTAGATAGTTTGGGATTTCATAGAATAATTATTAAGTGGATCCTTGTATGGATGTCTGTTTGCTTTTGTGCCAGCAAGCAGACATCAATGCTTATAAGTTTTAATCACATAGCCTCTTCTGTGTAGCTGCAGCTGAATGTCAGTTTATCCTTGTTAATCAAAAACTCAGCACTGAAACTTATAGATGTATGACCAGGCAGACATCCTCTTAAACAGTTCTGACACTTAAGCCCTGAACTCTTCTTCAGCATTATAATCTTCACTTGCTTGATTCTTAATATAATTCAGATTCAAAAGTCACAGGTGTGCTAATTTCTATTTATCTGATTTCTTTCTGTATCACAAAAAAATCATGTTTTCTTTCTGAAGTCTATCAATTTTTACACTAAACAAAGAGTTTGCTGCCACTTTCCAAAATGTCTCACATTAGACCCAGATATTCTTAAAGGTCTTTATAAATAATCTAATTTCTCTAATTTAAAACCTGATTTTGAATTCAGATTCCTTAAGAATAAATCTTTAGCACATTGAGGAATATTGGATTTCACATTAGCCTCTTTTGTTGCTGCATTGTTGTTTTCACAATGTGAAAGCCAAAGTGTAATTCACAATGGATTAGTGGCCATTATGTACCTCGTAAAAAGAAACTACATAGGTATATCTGCTAGATAATTCCACATATTCACTAAATGGCATAACTCTGTCTTATCTTTTTCACTTTTCTCTGCTCTCCTGTGAGTTCCTTTGTTTGCAAGCAATTCATAAAGCTAAGACTTCTCTACTCTCACAAAAGTATTCAAAAATTCGTTTTGTTATTTTCCAACAAGCAGACTAGGAGATTAGGAGACCAGAATAACCCAGCATCATGTACTTGCTGGATTTTTTTTCTCTCCATCACTTCTTCATTATTTATTCCTTATTTTCTTATTGAATAAAGCAACATATAGTATCTAAGAATAAGAGAAACAAATTTTCCCATCTATCAAAAACTACATGGTAATGAGCAAAACCACAAACTGTAAACAGAACTTTTTTTAATGTTTATAGTATTTCACAAATTAGAAAATACTTGGTGGCACACAAACTTTTTTGTTATATTAGCTTTAAAACGTGATTGCTATGTCATAAATACTTATTTCTCATCATCATTAATTGGCAATTTGATATTTCCACACAAAATAATGAATAACTTGCAGATGAACAATAAACAGCTACCGGAAAGTGTTTTCTGCCTCCGTCTAAAGAGTTCCTCAATAAATTCAAGGATTACCTCTATACTTTGAAGTATTTGAAGTACACTCAGTTCCATTAGATTCCAAGAATGAAGAAGTAGGACAGCGACATATCTCAGCACTTCTTGACTTTTTCTACCACGTAAGACAGTGATGCCCTGCAGCTAACCATTCTTATATTTTTCAAATACTTTCTTTAAAGTTTGAAAAACTGTCTGCCAATGACCTGAATTCACTTAACAGGCACGTTTTCTTTGGCAAATATATTGTTCACCATTTAAAAATTATAAATATATTAGAAAAATTTACTTGAAGTCTTTTGAAATATAGCATAACTTTCTGTTGGAGAGTAGAGAGCAAAAGGTGACCTCCCTAGTTCAGTATTGACACCACCACTCTCTATTGTCTCAAATATGAATGTGGTCTTTCTAGAAATGTGTACCTGTATTTTGTATTTTTTTAATTCATAGGCTTTACCTGCTCAGTTATAACTTGATTGCTTGTCCCTTACATGCAACTGAGTTTGTGGTTCCTGCTCTGGTTTTACTAGAAACTATACAGAGCCCAAGATAAAGATGTATAAAATTTATTGAAATGTGTATAAAATTTATTCCAGATCCAGATATGCTCACAGCTAGTGGAAGAAATAATTAATTAATTAAAATACAGTAAGCAGTATCAGAAATCCATGCTCAAAATCCTATGGGAATACAGAAGAGAAAGAAAAAAATCCATTCATATGTTGCCTGTATGACCTTTCATTGAAAAAATATTACAAAGAAAACATTTAACTTTTTGTCAAATAAACTGACATAAAAATACAAGAAATCTATAAGGATACCAAATTAAGGCACAGAAACAATTTTCAGGCACACAAATTACTTTGTTTCAGGACCAGAAGGGTCATGAATATATTATAAAAAGCATTGAATTCTGAGACAATTTGTCATTATTAAAATTAATGCTCTGTCAACACAAAATCTAGGTTTCAGCAATTCTTTGTTACTGCAGCTGTTTGTTGAGTTACCATGTCCAAATGTTCTAGGAGATCCAGCAGCAATGAATGGACAATGCTTTTTAATCTATAATAGCAGACTATAATCTGTAATGGTAGACTGTCAGCATGTGACACATGTTCAACACTCAAATCTCAAAGAACTTGTGTGACAGATAACCAAGGATGGAGATGTTTTAGTACTGGGAAATGGACAGTTGACAGGAATGTTTTTGTTCACAATGTTATTCATGTATTTAAAAATATAGCCTGTTGGCATGCAGATCAGATTTTGACAGCTTGGAAATTATAGAACATTTTGCTAGTATAATAAAAAGTCTGAGACTAGCAAAACCCCAATTTATATCAGCATACAAGAGAGTAGAAAAGAGGAAAAAGGCAGACAGGAGGGAAAATGGTGAAATACAGAAGAAAACAATTTTAGTTTCTCAGATCATCTTATGTATAAACTGCAAAACCACTCTGAGCTTACTATCTCACAATAGAGTCGGCCTCCAAACCAAATTCAGTTTAGCTGCCTGGTTTACTTTAATCAAAAATTTAATAGCTCTATTTTTAAACATCATCTTACGTATTTTGATAGTGTCAATCACGATATTTCAAAAAATGATTTATTCTAACATGCTTCATTTAGCATAAGCTGGAGAACCATTCATATGCTTTCTATGACTTCTTCACTAAAAGGCAATAAAGGCAAAAAATGCGTTTTCAAATGAGAAATTAATATTTCTGAAAAGTTAATTCAAGCCAACATTATAAGAAAATATTGATGTAACTTTTCTTAAAACAAGCTTTAATGTAGACATAAACATTATGTCTGTTGAGGTGTTTAGACAAAATATTTTTAAAGGTACCACATCACTGTAGAGACTTAAAGAACTACTATCAGAACATGTATGGTTATATGTTTGTTGAGAACTCTCACATGTGCTACATTGAAACCTACTTCCTCTAAAGTAAGGGAATTTTGTAAGATAACCTTAGCCAGAATTTAGAATTCACTAGCAGTTTTCAGTTGTAAGAAGATTATAGATGTTTCAAGTTAAAAACTGCAATTATAAACCCAAATAAAGTTTTTTCTTCTCCTCCCAATTCTGACTACCTCTTCCTGCCTCCCCAGCAGCTTGGAGTTGATATGTGAGCACACATGCATGTGTGAATAAGTGTGCAAGTGAGTGTGTTTAAGTTCAATATGTGAGTGTACTTATGTGTGTGTGAGCATATGTGTGAGTGTGCAAAGTCCAGCGTCAGCTCTGGGCAGCATATGTATTCATTATCATAATAATCTTTCTCATTATAAGTGGGCTTTTCTAAAATTAATATAAGCATTCTGGCATTCTTTTGGTCAGTGTGAGCATGGCATGACTTTCTCTATCTCTTGACTTCTATTTCATATGAGTCTTTATTTTGTAGGGAGTGTCTTGTAGACCAGGGGTCCCCAACTCTGTAGATGAGCAGAGGGCAAGCTAGCATTACAACCTGAAATATGCCTCTGTCAGATCAGCGGTGGCATTAGATTCTCATAGGAACATGAACCCTATTGTGAACTGCGCATGCAAGGGATCTAGGTTGCAGGCTCCTTACGAGAATCTAAAGCCTGCTGATTATCTACGGTGAAACAGATTCATCCGAAACCATTCCCTACTTCCCCCTACTCTAGCCTTCCATGAAAAAATTGTCAAAATTGTCTTCCTGGTCCTTGGTGTCAAAAAAGTTGGGGACCACTGTTATAGACAACAAATATCTGGGTCTTGTTTTTGTTTTCTTAATTTGTGTATTTAGACAGTTTATGATTAAAGTGATTATTGATATGGTTGAATTATTTATACCAGTTGTAACTGTTTTCTACTTTTTGCATTTGCTCTCTGCTCTTTCTTTTTTGACATTTCAGGTTTTAATTGAACATTGCATAGAATTCCATTTTATCTCTTCTTTTAGCACATCAATTATATATTCTTTTAACTTTTTTAGTGATTGCCCAGAGTTGACAATATACATTTTAAACTAACATAGACAACTTTAAAATAACAGTATACTATTTCCCAGGTAGTGCTGTAGTGCAGGTCCCTTATAACTCAGTATCCCCAATGCTTCCTTGTTATTTCTTATGACATTTCTGTTAATCATTTCACTTACTTGAATGCTATACTCACCCAATGCATTACTTTTATTGCTGTATACAGTTATCTTTTAGATTAATTAAAAATAAAAAATTTAATTTTACCTTTATTTATTCATTTAAACACATTTTCTTTATGTTGATTTAAGTTTTTGAACTATATCATTTTTCTCTGCCTAAAAAACTTCATCTGACTTTTCTTTTTTCAAGGCAAGTCCACTGACAAAGAAATTCCTGTTTTTTGTTTTTCTGTGAGTGTTTATTTCTCATTCACTTTTGAATGATAACTTTGTTGGATATAGAATCCCAGATTGGTAGTTTTTAACTTTTAACATTTTGAATATTTTATTCCACTCTCTTCTTGCTTGCATGGTTTCATATGAAAAATTCCATGTAATTCTTATCCTTGTGTGTCAATAGGTAATGTTTCTTTTTCCTCTGGCTTTCTAGGTGTGTTTTTGTTTGTTTATTTGTTTGTTTCTGTATGTTTGTTTGGTACTTATCCTGCTTGATGTTCCCTGAGCTTCCTAGATTTGTGATATGCTTTATGTCATTAATTTTAGAATATTTCAGCTGTCATTACTTTAAATTTTCTTCTGCACCACTCTCTTTTTTCCTATTCTGGCATTACAGATATATTACAACTTTTGATATTGCCCCTCAGTTCTTGCATGCTTATTTCTCTTCCTCATTATTTTTTTTCTCTTTGTACTTTAGTTTGGGAAGTTTCTCTTTACCTCTCTTCAAGCTCACTAATTTGTTGCCTGGCCATGTTGAATCTATTTGTAAATAACTGACTGAGTAGTTAACACCAGCTCACTAAGTATGTGTCCAGTGTGGCCAGAATTCAAATGCTGCACTTCTCAGGGAGGCCTATGTGGTTCTTCAGGAATATAGCAGTGATGTTTTCTACCCATATCCTATTGCAGAAGTATATTCAACTCCTTTTGCCCCCTTAAGGCCCACATGTCATAAAGCCTCTTACTCTTTGAGATTTCTTGCTTTGAGGGGAATCTTCTTGTTTGCAAAATAACTCCAGTGAAGATACTTTCCCTAGTGTCACCCTGACCCACATGAAATTCATGTGTTTTGTCATGAAAAGCTAAGTTTGATCCAGAGGAAAACTAAAAACTAAAAAAAAAAAAAAATCCTTCTAAATAATTAGTAGGAGAGGGAAGAGAGTAAACATGTGTGAGAAAATTTTGATCCTTTTTTTCTTCTTTTAAAACAACACACTGCATATCCCTTTCTTCACTGTTGTCACTTATCAGAATACTCCCTTGACATTTGAGGGAGTAGAGAGTATATGAGTTCTGTAGTATTTAAAAAAAATATATCTAAATAATTGTCAATGCTTCCTAATGCACTTTGATAGAAACTTTAAAATGTACACTTCAATATGTAAACATATTTTAGTATGATTTACATGTAGCCATAAAGTGAGTTGTTTAAAATATTATAAAAATCTATTTTAGAAGATTGAAGCTGTTACTAATTTAGAGAAAACACGATGGGAAATCATTTCAATTCCTATCTTCCAATCATTACAAACATGTCTCTTATGCCACTGCACTTTCATTCTATTTATTTGGCAAATACTCAAGGCTAGAAGAATTCAGCTGTCCTCTCCCTCCAGACCTATAACTGGCTTCTCATTGGTGTACTGCTGGAGAAGAGCATGCAGATTAGAGGCTGTATAAATTTATATGGGCTCACCTGGACCCTCAGAGCAGCCACAGCATGCTTCTATACTCTCTTGTTAGCTCGCTGTGTGGTTCCTGATAGTCACTATTTTGAGGTTTCTGTTCCTCTCAGTCTTGTGTTTCATTCATCCCTTTATTGTTCTCTATTTAGGTGAAATTGCTCCAGTATCTATCCAGTCACCTAAGCCAGAAACCTGAGTATACCTTCGATCCTTCCTTTTTTTCCATCCCTGACGTCAAATCAAACACAGATCATTAGAGATTCAATATCTTAACATATTTTGAATCTATTTAATTTCTCTCCTTTCCCATTGTCACTGTTCAAGTAGTCATCACCTCTCAATCATACACCTACAGCAACCTTCTAAATGACTCCCCACCTCCAGTCTTCACTCTTCTTCATAAGACACTCAGGATCTAAGAATTTGTAAAATGCATATCTGACTATGATCCCTCCCTACTCAAAATCCTTCAATGGTTCCTTATGGCTCTTAGGATTAAAGTCCAAGCCCTCAACAGTTTAAAAGATTTATATGAGCTGGTCTCTTTCTTTTCCTTTCATGAACCACATTGTATAACTTTTAGTTTCTAGAAGGCACTGTGTTACCAATTGCTTTTCACTATGCGTTCTGTCTTAACACGTAATCTCAGCCCCGCTCCTACTCCAACCCATTGTCTCACGTGAAGATTCTCTACTCATCCTTCAGAACTTAGTTCCCATGTTTCTCTTTCAAGAAGACATCTGCAAGTCTTAGATCAGTACCCTGCCCCAAGCAGCTGTGTGATATTATAGAACAACAGAATTTCCATTTCACATTGTATCATAATCTGCTGTTCTCTTTTTTATGTTCCCATTTAACCCTAAGCATCTTTAGGCAAAAACTATGGATAATTTATTTAGTATTATATCTCTAGTTTCTAATAGACTGCCAGGCACTTATTAAGCATTAATAAATGTTTCTCAATTGGTTGATTGCTTGAATAACTAAATGTGACATTATTTTCTTCATTGAAAACTGTTGAACTCTATTTGAGGTTGTCAGTGAAGCTTACACTGATTACTAATGGACATGTTTTCTCCTCCCCATGGCTGAACTGCCCATGATTATTCCTGGGGTTATGAATTTGCACTTCAGTGACTTTTATGTGGCATCATTGCAACATGGTTGAAAGGGAGATTTAATCTCTTAAAAAGAGTAATGGTAAATAACTCAGATTGAAAGCAGCTCTGGTTGTCTCCCATCATGTAAAATTGGGAGATCTTTGTTGAAAATCAGGGTATTCTAAAATGTAATTGCCATGACATCTAAAATCCCAGTTCTGACTTGCCTACTAAAAGAAAACAAAACACAAATATATGCAACAACTGTACGGTTGTGAGCATGTGTTGCCTTTTAATGACTAAGCCTTTATTAATGTACAAGAAAAATAGAGAGTAAAGCACCTGCTCACTGAAATATAGCAGGAGCCTTCTGTTCTCAGTTAGAACAGCTGCCCTATTTACTGCTGCTTTGACGAAGTCACTGCCCAACTTCTCTATTGAGGAAGGTCGGTGTTTACACTCTAGCCAGTCTTGAATCAAAACAGTTTTGATTTGTTAATAATGCACTAACCAAATATTATGACTGAAAAACTGGGACACTGGTAAATAATCAGATGCAGAATGGAACTTCAGTTGCATTTAGTCTGATAATGGAAAGGGAAACACAAATAAAAAATGTAATTTAACAATTCATTGTATCCTGTTAAATGCCAGCTGTTTTCAGGGTTTTAGGATAGTGTTTTGTTTTTCCCCTTGTGTTTTCAGACCTTGGGGAATAATTGGAAGGCAATTAAATTACTCCATATTTTCTACTGGCAAAGAAGTGTATGTTATCAAGGATTTATTTGTTCATTCAATAAATATTTTTTGCATACCTATTATGTGCCAGGTATTTTACTACTCATTGAAGATACAGCAGTAAACAACAGCACCAGAGTCCCTGTATTCAAGGAGATTAAAATGTAATGTGAGACTGAGGGAATAGCCAGGAAATACCCAAACAAATACATAATATGTCAGGTAGTGAGTGGCCTGAAGGGCAAGGGAATGGGGAAGAGGGATGGGGGTGCTCTTTGATTTAGGTGTGTAGAGGAGGGGAAAAACAAGACATCACCTCATCATACTACCCTTGAGTGATGTCTGCTTCTCAAATCTACTAATTGAACTTTTGAAAATGAAACAAAGGATTCCATTTAACAATCTCTTCCTATATTGATTTTTAACTGCAGCTGTCAGAGGTGATTCTGATGGATAAAACTTGCATTTATTAGGATTAAGTTTTAGTTTCCTATTGCACAGCCTGGGGACTATAGCGAATAATAATGTATTGTATATTTCAAAGTAGCTAAAAGAAGATTTTAAATGTACTCATCACAAAGAAAGGTAAATATTTGAGGTAATGGATATGCTAATTAGCCTGATTTGATCATTCCACAATGATGTATCAAAACTTCACGTTGTACTTCATAAATATATACAATTATTATTTATCAATTAAAAATAAAATAAAACCTAAAAATAACGTAAAGACTACAAAAGAGTTTCATTTATTAGGTATCAAAGTTAGTCATTTTCACTCTGGTATACACGTATCCAAAATTTACTGGTTTAACCAGAAATTATATTATCATAGGCCTTGGTATATACAGACGATAGCAGAGGAACAAAGAAACACTGGCTTTGCTTACAAAAGATATGATCTATTAGATATAAATAAAATAAGTTAAATTATATTTGATATATTAATTATTCTAAATTTATTTTAACTGAATATCCATGGTGATAATATACAATGTTTTTCATTTTATAAAATGTTTTGGCATACCTCGACTCATTTGGGCATCACAACAAACCTATAAACTAAATTATTGTTTTCATTTAGCCTTAGAGATCTCTGAGATTCAGAGAAGTTAATTGATACACTAATGAAGAGCCAGTGCTCAAGCGTAGGCATTCTAATTTCAAATTTCATGTTTGTATTGCTCCATTGTGTGCAAATCAAAACAATATGAATATTATAGCAATCTGATTTTTTAAATATTTTCAGACTTATTAAATACAAACTTCTGGGATATTTTAATCGATACCCTTTTTTTATTTGTTAACTCTTTAATTACTATTATTTTCTTCATGAAGCCTGCTCCAAATTAATAACCAAAAACTTAGTTCTTCACACATCCAAAAAAAGATTTCCTTTTAACAGTCAAGGGTATGGGATGTTAAAACATCAACTAGGATTAGTGATTAATTATAAATGCTTGTGGTGATGCACATCTTATATGAAACCTGAAAGTCACATGGAGCAATAGAGCTCCTGTGCTTAGGGAAGTAGCCTGAGTGGAAAGATCAATAACTGAAGTTTACTGTAAGTGGAGATTTAAAGACATGAGCGAAACAATTTTTAGTAGCCTAACCTTTTTACTACTCATCTGACCTACACATGGTGAGATGTGTTTGATTCTGGAGCTTTTCTTTGTTTCTTTTTCTCCTTTCCTTTTTCCTTTCATTTCTTTTTTCTCTTTCTTTTCTCTTCTTCCTTTCTTTCTTTATTTCTTCCATTTTCTTTCCTTCTTTATTTTTTTTTTCCTCTCCTCTTTCTCTTACTTCTCATTTTTTGGCTGTAATGCAGTGGCATGATCTCAGCTCACTGCAAACTCTGCCTCCAGCGTTGAAGCAATTCTTCTGCCTCAGCCTCCTGAGTAGCTGGGAATACAGGCAGGAGCTAGTCACCAGGCCCGGCTACTTTTTGTATTTGTAGTAGAGATGGGGTTTCACAGGTTTGGCCAGGCTGGTCTCAAACTCCTTACTTCGGGTGATCTGCCCGCCCAGCCTCCCAAAGTGCTGGGATTACAGGCGTGAACCATTGCGCCCGGCCTATTTCTCCTTCTAAGTGTAGTTCTTACAGGAATAAATCTTGAAACATCTACCTAAATTAATAAAATGTGTCTCTTTGAAATTGGAAGATCAGAGTTACTTTTTATTTATAGAACACATTTCTTAGTGGAAATCTATTATTGTGTTCCATTGTGAAAAACTTGGCATCTATTTTTAGTGCTGCAAGAGAATTAAAATCTTTCCAAGTGAAACAATCATTTCTCTCTTAAGTACTTATTATCTTAAAGTGTCTAGAGTCAGTAATCAGCTGACATGCATGTGTGTGCATAGATATACATATTGAAATATCAAATTTTATTTTCATTTCCAAAAAAGTAAAAATATGTAAGTGATATTTTAGATTTAATCCATTCTAGGAAAAGCTTATGAGGAAATATCGTAAGTTGCAATATAGGGTTGTTATAAATAAAATTCACCAGGTAAATAAAATAATAGAATAAAATGAAGCAGAAAATAGACGGAAGTTTGATGAATTTGTAGCCAAAGTTCTGGGAGAACCATGGAATAAGAAAGAATATTGATTCTGAATTCCTATGCCCAGGCTTGCGCGCGTGCACGCGTGTGTGTGTGTGTGTGTGTGTGTTAATAACACTTAATATAGGAACTACTCTCTTAACAAATCATTAAGCGTGCAATCCGCTTGTTGACTACTTTGAATGCTGGATTTGCTAGAATTCCCTATATAAACTCAGACAGTCACCTGAAACCCTTGATCCTCATTTCCTTTTCTCATAAATAAGATAGTTTCTTAGTTCCTAGTAACACAACAAAAGTGCACATAAAACCACTTTGTAAAGTTATATAAGTAAATTAACATTAACATTCAACAAATAATATGTTACAATCAATCATTAATTAATGATTCATTGGAATGTTTCACTTTTAGAAAAACAAAATGATGTATCTAAATAGTAGACTCCAAGCTGAGAACCATTTTTAGATTGAGCAAAAGATTAATATAGTTATATTAGGTTTGGACAAACTTTCCTTACTTTTGATATCTAAGAACATAGATGTTGACATTTACCAGGTTATTAGTTGTCCAGGCCTGAAGAGTTGCCTAAGACTGGGTTGCCTACAATTATTATCAATAGTTATGTGTGTTTAAATCAAGAAGTGTTACTGGCACTCATATTAGTAATGTTAAGCCTAGTCTGACTCTTAATATCCCTTGTGTGGTTCCAGACTATTTTTAGAATAAAATAAAGACACAAAATTACCTTTTATAAGAAAAATGTGAGTACAATGCCAAAGCCCATCAGATGAGCCATCAGGGATGTATTTCCCTATATTCCATCTATCTTCACATTTTATGAGAACTAAAAGCATAATCAATAATTTAACAAGCTAATGGACATATTTTTAAACACAATGAACTATTCTGAAAAGGGGCACGCTATCAGAGCCACAAAGGCAAAAATGGAAACCGACTGCTAATATTTAATGCCTATCTTGAAAAATACTGTGCTGCAGCGTGAGCACAAAGCAAGCTGCCCTAAAACAGGGTGGCTCTCTTCTTGCTCTGCAAAGACGTTGTTTCATCCTGTGTTTGTGATTGTGCATTTTTTTCCTAGGAACCAAATATCTGACTATTCTGCACATGATTTGACTTTTAAAGGCACTGTAAGGCACAGGACTAAGTACCCAAATATTCAATGTGTACTTTAACTAAAAATGTATGCTCTAAAAATGATTTTTAATTTCAATTTAAAAATGCTGTATAATATATTCTGGCTACTGATATTCATGATCATACAGTTTACAATACCATTCTATTTGTCATACAAGTAGGAAAAGCAAGGAAACTATTCTGGACTTGGCAGTGAAAACACTCTGACTCAACCTGGAGAGTAATGCTTTATTTTGTGGATAAAATAAGGCCTCTCACTTTTATTTTGTTCTTTCCTTTTTTCTTCTCTTCTTATATTTTGGATATTAGCAGCTTCATAAGTCAAACACAAAATGTTACAAAAAACAATTAATTGTATAATTTGCAATTAAATACTCAGGGGGATAAGCAGTTGCCTAATTTATTTACCACCATTCTATTTGTCACTATGACAGTGTGTTTACCCACAGTTAAGGATTATCCATAAAGTTCAATTATATTTACTCAATTCCCTATTATCAAGATTTATACATTTTGATACATAAACCTTCCTTTTTCCTTGAACTTTAGATACATCATTAAACAGATTTATTCCATAGATAATGTCTTCCCATATTTTGAGTATATGTATTGTATCTGACAATCAGGTTAATGAAAAACTGCTTATGTTTCTAATGAATAGACTATGAACGTGCCCATAAGCTTGCTTGTATATTTTTACAACAGATAAGAAAGTTTAGACTTGTTTTATGTTTGGTTATAATGAAGTTGAGAGCCTTGAGAGTTGAGGGAGAAACATAGGTAGAAGTGCCAACAACAAGATAAAGGCAGCCCAGAGTGCTTGATGCCAGAAGCAGTGGCACCCAGACCTTGGTGCCCTCTTGGAAGGCCTGCTGCAATTGGCCTACTGAAATTAGCACATACTGAACATCTTATTCTTCAATTCATCCATTGAACAAGATTTCCTTTCCTGTCCTTTTCATATGAAAGATAAAGCTCTGCTTGTTTGAATCAATGCATATCTCTGAGCTGCAATATTTCAAGGTTCAGTGGGTTGTATATATAAACCATTTTTATCCATGTAGTACTGTCATACTTTCCCCAGATGATACTTTTGGGAGTACACTGTTGAGAAAGATTATTTTTAGTATGCAATAAGAAAATAATAATCAAAATAAATATATAAAAAAAGATAAACAGTAAAAAATAGTAGCAACATAAGTCTGTGAAAAATTATTTGCTGCTATCTCATACCACATATCTTTTGAATTCTCTTATTTATACCTCAACAACATCCATTTTTAATTTGTCTTATACACCTATACTCTCTGAAATAGGTTTTATTTGTTTGTTTAAAGAAGCCATTTGCCCAGAAATGCTAAAACTAAAATGCTGTGTCTGCACAATAGGTGATTTTAGCAAGCCAGATATGCACAGTTAAGCTGTGCTTGCAGAATTGTTTTTCTTAAAGTGCAACCAATTGACCATATACCAGCACTAATTTGTTTCTAACCAGTAAGGCATGTGCACATGTTGCCCCATACAACAGTGATTGCAACCAATATGGATGGCGTGCTTGTTTTTATTCTCAGTAAAGGAAAATTTAAATGCAGCAGCATGCCTCAGCTTAGAACCACATATCTCCAGACTCTGCTTTCTTCAAAAGACAGATTTTCCATTTGCCCTGCATTCAGTTTTAAGCTTTTTTTTCCATCAAACAAAGCTTATCCTCCTAAGAATGTTCTGGAAAAATGACTTAGAACCAGTCTGCTGCGAAAATCTTTTAAAAGCCTATATTAATACCCTTATAAAATGATAATATACATCTGCTTATGATATAAAAATACTCTTTATGATACTCTCAAAGTAATATTCTTACTTACAATTTTGTCAGACTTTAGACTCTCACAGGTGTCTTACAATTCCTTCTTTTTTTTCAATAATATCTGCATGATTTTATTCAAAATAAAAAATATTGTTATGATGAAAAGTTCTGGAGATGAATAGTGATGCTGGTTATACAACAATGTGAATGCACTTAATGCCACAGAACTGCATACTTAGAAATGATGAAGATGGTACATTTTATGTGTACTTTAGCACAATACAAATTTACAATTCCTTCTTAAAATAACAACGCTAAGAAGGCAGGTGGTAGATTTCTAGGACATTATTATCTTTCTTCAGGCATTTAGCCTGCAGCCTGGTTTTTCATACTATTTTCAGTCCTGGAAAACCATAATTATCCTGAAGCATGCTACTTACACCGTCTTATTTCTTAATTACAGTAGTGACATGAGATAAATGCATACTTATTGGGATCGAATGCATATTATTTTGTGGTGATTATAAAGAAGTTCTTATGACAATAATTGCAATTATATGGTCATCAACTACTGATACCATGCTATGTTACAGAAACTCTGTAACTAAGTCCTGCCAAGAGGGAACTTTCTATTTGAGATAAAAGAATTCAAGAGTGAGAGATTGGGACATTGGACAGTGTTATGTTTATATAATGTATCTAGGTAGAAATTTAAGTTAAACCCCTAAATATTAGTTGATATAATGATTTTACTTGAGCTTCATATGGAATAATTTAAAATTTTTAAATAATTTAAATTTTTAAATGATTTAAATTTTACTTGAGATTCCATATGAATCTCAATTAAAATCATTGTCAACTAATATTTAGAGGTTTAACTTTAAAGAGATTAAGTGGTTTAACTTAAATTTAAGGGGTTTAACTTAAATTTCTACCTAGGTAAATCAAATAAATAATATTTTTAAAATATCTATAGTCTTTTTTGATGTTTCAAATAAAAGATTTGAATATACTCCAAGGATAAAAAATGGACTAGAAATATGATGAGTGATATTGTCTTCAAAGATAAATTTGCAGTCTATTAGTAATATTCTTCTCAGATGCTATAATTCATTGTCTTAAAAGCTTTCATTTAAGGTTTCCAAAATATTTTTTTCTTTTTTCATTCCAATTTAAAAAGAAAAATAAAAACTTTCAGCTGCCAGGATAATACTTATATAGTTTTCTACTACCTTCTATAAAAATATGTTCTTTGTCTTGCTTTTTTGTTGTTGTTGAAAAGGGCAAAAGGAAAAAAAATGACGGATGTCAAACTCAATGTATATATATGTTTTGGCGAAGGTTTCAGTTATATTATATGTCAGAATTGGGAATCTGACTGCCTGGTTTTAAAGTCCTGCTCTGCCACTGACTAGATGTAGAACTTGAACAAGTTACTTAACTGCTCTGTGCTTCATTTTTTTTCATCTGTAAAAGGGGACAATAACAGTAGTTATCTGTAACAGCATTGAGAGGATTTAATTATTTCATATATGTAAAGGGCTTAGAATCCTGCTTAGTACATAGTAAGCAAACACTATATGAATTTTAGGTAAGATTTTATCTAAGTTAGAGACATTAAAGCCACATTCTCTTCTCTACCTTCAACCATGATGAGGTGTGACTTTGATCATTTTAATAGGTTTTCTTCAGATATTTTTTTCAGTATTCTAGTATGACACATAATAGAGACTATCTTTTCCACAATAAAAAGGGCATTCAAACAACGAACTGATATCTATCAGATTGGTCAGCGTAACATTGGCCAGTGACGTATATGCCTGTGTTTGTTTAAATGATTCCATATGAATCTCAAGTAAAACCATTTTATCAACTAATGTTTAGATGTTTTTAACCTATAGTGGGGTTTTAACTTACAGTGGCTTGCCAGAGCAGATTTTCTAAATTCTGGTACAAGATAATGCTTCTATTATTTTTTAAGATAAAAGGCCTCCTCTTTAGACATTTATAGTTATCCAGTGACATATTAGATCATGGGAACAGAAGGTCTGCATATAGTCTTTATTGCATGGCTAGTATCTAACCAGGTGTCAATAAAATTAACATTGGAATAGTTCTGCAAACCTATTTTATTTCCAAATAACCACACCAAGAAACATAAACCCTTAAAAAAGTGTCAGCGAGTTTCCATACAAATATTAGCCATGAGACACTTGACTTTTCTTCTATATTATTCTTCTGTTCAGCTTCAGATGTTACATTTGTTCTAATATTATTATTTATAACCTTATATTAGCCTTACATTTCTAATAAAGTTAATAAATTATTTCATTATAATATTTGGGTTGTTATAAAACATTTACAATACAGATCAATACAGTAAATAGTAAAATGAATTTTTAAGACAATTAAATTTGAAAATATCATGAAATTGAGAAACAAGTACAAAATTATACTTGTCACAAAGTAATGAACTCTCTTTTTATGAGTTGCGTAAACAATCTCTGCAATTTCAATCAGAATTTTGCAATTTCTCTTTTATTTAGTATTTTTTAAATCCCTGCTGCAATGCCTAATGAACTAAATATTAGATTATGTTTGTAATAACATTTGAATTTTTGCTTGCTCTTTCCATACCAATTAATCTAATTTCACTTTTTCTTTGTCTGTGATACACAAAAGAACAACACTGAAATGCCATGATATTTTTAGAGTTAATATTGGGGTATGAAAAGTTGTAAAAGGATTAATGAGTGGGGAAAAGTTTCTGGCTAAATGCAATCAGTTTCTGTGCAAACATTTACAGTCTCTACTGAAATAAAATTCGTTTAATTAGACCACAAAGAAACACGTTTTCTTGAATCTGATTCTATTTCAACCTGTACACATATCTACACCAGGAAAGTTCTGGAAAAATTGTTTAATTTTAGAACTGGTCTAATATTGGTTCTTCACTAGTCTGAAAGTTACTAGATTGAAGTTTGATGGTATTGGCTCCACAATAAGCAAAACTGATATGCAAAGTAATGCTATACTTCTGAAGAACAGTGAGGAAATGACACTCTCAATTTCAATTTCAATTTTAAAAGTGAGTTTAAGTGTTATTTTGAGATGAAAATTAAATGTGTGGCTTTCCACTTAAAAAGATCATTGTACTTCTTGTGAAATTCCAAGGTGAGGTGAGGTGCTGCCTGGGGCTTGTACTGCTACTTTTAAGCTTAAGCATATGATATTTTTGTGGTCATTTTTATTTATCTTTCAGATCAGCATTTTCATGACCCATTTATCAAACTATGGAAATGACCGCCTAGGGTTATATACCTTTGTGAACTTGGTCAACTTTGTGCAGAGCTGGACCAACCTGAAATTGCAAACTCTGCCTCCAGTGCAACTGGCCCACCAGTATTTTGAGCTCTTCCCTGAGCAGAAAGACCCTCTATGGCAGGTAACATTTAACATTCTCTCTTGGGGTGGAAGGAAAGAAACTAGCAATTTGTGAGTGTATAATTTGTGTTAGGCACTCTGCTGGACATATTAAAACTGGAATTTAACACAAAATCCTCTTTTATACAATACTTTTATCCTCTTCCTCAACAATTTTTGCTTATTTTATGAATTGTTTGCATTTTTTGCTTGCTTTTCTGGGTTTTTGTTTGGTTGGTTGCTTGGTTGGTTTAACATTTTTGCTTTGAAGATGTTGTTTTATTGTTGGTGTCTTCTCCAAGCTAATCATTTTAACTTGCATGCAGTGTGAGCACTAACTAGCAGTAAAATGGTTAGACAGTAGATATCTAGGGAAATAAAAACCTAGAGCCACTGGAATCTAAGATTTATAATTAGACTTTGATATGTATATGTGCAACATTGTGTATATAAGAAAGGAAAAGCAATTTTCACCTTGTATCCATATAGAGTTAACCTCTCAAGCATATCTTCACTTTTCTTTAAATCTAACAGATCTTTCACTAATATTAGACCTACTGAAAAAGAGAATTGTCAGTGTTAGGATTGCTTTACTAATAATTCAACTTCATGTGGGGCCACTTAGCCTGGATGCATCAAATGTAAACTATCTGCTTCTTGGCAGTTATCTAGGCAAATGTTGCCTCCCATTTTCTTGCCTCTTTATGCATCAGATTACATCGACCCACAAAATCAATAGGCTGGCTGCAGAGAGCAGATCAGATAGTCCCCTGCCAAGCAGTCGGCTGAGAAAGTAGCATCACCATTAATGAGAAATTACTGTGAAACAGACTTTTTGTCATCCTCTCTCCCTCTGGTCAAGACTGTTTGTTTCTCTTTATTCCATAAATCATATTACATGCCACTCTGTCTACATTGTCAGAAATACATCCAACACATGTTCATTGTCCATCTGTTATGTGTAAGGTAAGGCTAGATGTTCTAGGGCATGCAAAGAACAAAATAAATTTTTTCTCAAAGCCAGTGGAGAGATTTCTCATTATTCACTAACATACATTTCAAAAATGTGTTTTAAAACTGACTGCTACATGTCATATTATATTCTGATGATTTATTAAGCAGCTTTTTACCGTTTGTGTTTACACTGAACTACATTCTATTTACCATCCCAATAAGTTACTTGACCATCTACCATTTGATATGTAATTTAGAAAGACAGGTAAATAGATAGAAGCATAAGTATTATGCGCATATATCAACACACAAAATACAATTGTATAAAGACAAAGCAAGTGTCCCACAAATGGTGATTATTCAAAAGATCTCACATACTTTTATAAAATTGATAAATTATTGATGGTAAATCAATTCTTTTGTCACAAATGTTTATATAAAATATATCTATAATATTTATGGCACAGTAATAATAAAAATCAGACAAATTAACAAAGATTTTAGACAGCTTACATAGAAAGAATCCTTCAATGGCCTCCAGCGCTACTCTTCCTCTATCTGTAGAAAAAAGGAAAAACTTTTTTTTAATGATGAACTAAATTTCTTGATATTATTTGAAATTTTTAAGATAAAGAATTGTATTTATTAATATGTTTGGATATCAGTGACACTTTTCTTAAAAAATAAATATAATCAAAGATATGCCAGCTCCAATATGATTTGGGCAACATGATGATTCTAAGTATTGATTGAATGTTTGTTAAATATAGAATACAGTGCTGGTGGATTAGGGGTATAAATGGAAATTAGAAATTAAAATATGGGATTATTCTGTAAGAAATTACATCATTCTTGGAAGATATAAGAAATATATATATATATATATATATAATTTGCAAGTGCTGATAATTTTAATTTTGCATAATATCATAGGGGTAAGTTCCTAGGAAGTTCATCATAAGAGAGAGAATAACTCAGAAAAGATAACATAGAGTTTACAAATTTTCATCATTGCTGTTGTTTATATAAGTTTAGGAATTTTCATATACATTATCAAAATATAGTTTTCTGTAAGAGTACTTAAATGATACATGAGTAAATGTTTTCCTACTGAAAGACTCCCTTTGCTATTATGAAATTATATTATTTATATGGTTACTTTTCACTGAAATTTTAAAGTTGCAAACATTTTTGTTAACTAAATATCATATATTCTCAAATATATTTAAGAAGAAAAACAAGGAATAGAAAATAGAGTAGTTAAGTTAAAGGGAGAATTATTCAGATACATGAGATTTTGACAAAAGTTGACTTACTGCAGCAAATCTGATGAACTTTGCCAAACACATCATGTCCAAAAGTCTTCAAGTTGTGAAGTAACAATAAAGTGCATAATACTAGTTCACTTCCCTGGTGGTTATCTCTTCTTTTCATATTCATATCTATAATAACACATTTTAAAATGGTAAGCATTGTCACCCTTTTCTCTATAAAATATGAACTTAGTTTTATTTAAAAAACCAGCGTTACTTGGTAGGTTTTTTATGGCCCATTCATCACAATGCTAGAGAGTTAGAATAGATAAACATGGTGTGTTTCTGTTATTGTTACAAAGTGTCAAAATAAAATATTAAAGTACTCTTTTGTATTTACAAGTGTGACTTCTTATTCAGTATATTTCATGTTTAAAACTAAGTCAACTATTATTTTTCTTTAGATTTTCAATTCACACATTCTTGTTACCACAAATAAAAGAAAAAGTGAAAAATGATAATATTCACATCTATTTAATTTCCTTTGGTTCCTCATGTAAAGTTTCATTAGCACCAACTACCATGTATGTGAAGCTGCTTTGTCACCTAATTAAAAACTGCAATATGAATATCTGTCAATGGGTACCCTGATAAGTAGAGCACAAAACGCATTTGTGCTCATCTCTCACTGGAAATTGATTCTTTCACAGGTGATTAACATGGGAATGTGTACTGAGGACACATATGAAATGCAATCCCCAGACTGTATCCTTGTCAGTTTAGTCCTTAGTGTGTAAGACTCTTAAAATTGTACTCACTCGTGTACATTAATTCATGTCCTTTATTATTTTGGTAGAATAATCACTACACAGTGTAAAAGAATAGGGTTTCTTTTCTTTCTTTTTTTTTTTTTTTTTGCTTTTTTTTTTTTTTTTTATAATTCTCATTATGGGAACCAAAACCACAATATGGAGGAAGTTAGAAGGTCAGATTCTTACACATGAGCTAATCGATGCTTTTAAGCTCTCAAACTGTCAGCTTAGCTCAGTTCCAGTCTTCACTCAGTCACTCCAGAGTCTCACTATCAACAAACATGCCAAACATGATGTGGATTCCTGCTTTTCTGTGTGACTAGGAGAATGCTCAAAGAGCTGAAGTTTCTCTCCCCATGCCAACGTCTCCAGGGTTAAAGAAGTGGGAAAATAAACCACAGAGCACTAACCTTAGGTGGTTAATCCCTTTGCTGATTCCAGCTGTCAAGACATCCAGCCCCAGTTTAGAAATGATGAAATTTGAATAGCTGTGACATAAACAAATCTTAAGATCTAGTGGCATACACACTGTAGATTCTATTAGTATGTGTCTGTTGAAGGAATGAAGGAATACTGACACAGAGAATTAAAGATTGTAAGAGCAGAATAAGAAATTAGGGACATCTAGCTCAACCTATTCATTGTAGAGAGAAAATGGATGACACTCAGTGTAGTGAAATGCCTTGTTCTAAGTCACATGGCTTATTAGGAACAAGTCAGGACTAAAGCCCTAGGTTTTCTTACTCCTCCTCAAGGGTGATTTCAACCACAAGATGGTGGTTTTACAATTAAAAAAGCAAGTATACTATTATCATCAACTCTACATCAAATGAAATTTCAGGGGTAACTCCTCACTTTAGAAGGATCTGACAGTATGTTCAGTGTGAATTTATTCAACCTATGCTTTTGAAGTACTTACATAATCAAAAGAAAATTCTTGCCTTCATGGAACTTATAAGCCACAATAACTGCTTGTTATGTGAACAAAATAGTGTTACAAATTTGTCTTCATATTTATTTCTCTTTTTACCACCCTACAACTTATTTATAATTATATTACTGCACTTACCACACAGAATTGCAGACACTTATGCTTGTCATATACTGATTCCTGCAAACCTTAAAGAATGAGACTTTGTTTGGTTCATATTTGCACCCTGGAACCTAGCATAGTACAATAGCCACTCTCTTCAAAATATCATTAAAGAATAACCAAAAGCAGAGGGCTGTGTGTACAAAGAACAAGAAAAGTGGCACATCTGTTTCTCAGATAGTAAATAGTGATGTAATGGTAAGTAACCTATAGAAGCAGGTACAAGTCAGTGCGGGAAGCTTTGAATGCTGCCACTGTAATTTGAATTTGATAGGCAATTAGGAACAACAAGCTATAGGCTCTGAAGTTGAGAGTGAAGTGACTTAAAAAAATGTTGGTCAATGAAGAGTACACCAGAAGCCTTTACTCAGGACAGGTAAGAATAGGGAGGTGCTGAAGATAGGAAAATAATCTACCTATGAGAGAGGGAAGCCCAGAAGAGCTTCATGGTTGTGAAAAGCAAGACCTTCGAAGTAGGAGTGAGTGAGACTGAGAATAACGAAAGAGTGATCTGTGACTAATTACCCCCATTGCTGGGGAAATAGGAGTTCTGTAATAGCACTTTTCACTTTAATTCTTTCATCTTTTAGTCTTTTCAGTGAAATTAAGTCAGTATAGTTTTTATCATATCACAGATGAGAGAGGACAGATTTCATTATTATCTTAAATATTTTTTCCTAATCAAAATTTAAATTTATATTTTGCCATGTTATCTTTCTCCTCCTAACTTAGCGATAGTATGTTATATACCTTTCAGGAATATCTCCTCCACCAAATATGGCAATAATTTCTCATGATTTTGATTCTTTAATTTACACTGAAGCAACATTTTGATTATATGAGGCTGTCAGTCATTCTGACATCCAAAAATGATGACTTAAGTCTTGGATTGTTTTCCCTGTTAATCAGTTGCAAACATGTTCTTGTCAAGGGTCAAATTCCCCACACAAACCACTTATTGAGGTTCAGTCATAAAAAAAATTACTTGCAGATAGCTCCCTTGAAAATAAAATAAAGTGGCAATACTTTCTAAATTAAAATCATCATAAAATATATTTGAGCATTTAATCCAAGTATAATAATGAAAAAGGAAACTGAATTTTTTGTTTGTGCCTTACAGAAACATTTGATAAGTTCAATGTCATATATGAGTGCATAATACTGTATTAGAACAACTGATTCATAAGAGTTTAAAAATACAGTTCATTTTATTGAGTTGGCTTTCTTTTCCCTGCCAGGATATTCATTAAAACACAAATAATAACATAAGGGACTATGTTCAAAAGTACACAGTCATTAGTTTAAAAATAGAGCTGGCTGGGTGCAGTGGCTCACTCCTATAATCCCGGCACTTTGGGAGGCCGAGGCAGGCAGATCACAAAGTCAGCAGTTTGAGACTAGCCTGGCCAATATGGTGAAATCCCGTCTCTACTAAAAATACAAAAATTAGCCAGGCATGGTGGTGTGTGCCTGCAGTCCCGGCTACTTGGGAGGCTGAGGCAGGAGAATCACTTGACTCCAGGAGGCAGAGGTTGCAGTGAGCCGAGATTGTGCCACTGCACTCCAGCCTGGGTGATGGAGTGAGACTCCGTCTCAAAAAAAAAAAGAAAAAAAAATGATAGCGCTACAAAGTAAATATGCCACCTTCTCTTGGGGTCAGTTTTACTATGAGACTACCTCATGGGAAAATACCAGTAGTATTAACTTACTTAAATAAACATGAGTATAATATGGTGAAGAATAGATAGACATTTAGGGTAAATTAGAAACATTTTGTGTCTAAAGCAGTACTCTTGAAGCTGTCACCCCAGACAGACACAGAACCATGGGCTCCTTTCCATCCAGTCCTACCCCCAGAGGTTGGCATTATAAACCTTTGAAATTCAGGGTACTTTGTAGCAAAGTTTGACAAATCAGTCTATTAAGTGCTACAGGAGTTCTGTAGTGAGTGCATTTATTATGGATCAGTGTACTCACACGAGGAACACTTTCCCAAGAAGTTGAGGGACTGCATGGATTTTACATGGGGAACAAGGAGAGTTCAAGCCTTCATAAAGATGTCTCTCAGTTTTTCCATAAAGATTTGTTGATTGGAGCACTGAGAATAAACACCCTTAATCTATTAAACTTCCTCATCAGTGTACATGGATTGTATTAGGCTTAAATGACATTGAGAGACAAAACTTGAAAGTCACCACCCTGTACAATACAACTTGGAAAGGGCATTTTAAAGACATACACAGAGCAAGACTCAATAAGCAGAAAAAATTAAGAAACAACACAGGCCAATTGGAAAGGAAAAATGTGTTTTAAAAGATGCCTTTTATAGCATTCTTCTTTAAACCGTCAGGGGAATACCAAAAGGGAAATGAAAAGCAAACCAATGGCCTCTGAAATGTTTGTAATTAGTAAAATAATCCTTCTATCATGAGCACTGGGCATTTTTAAAGTTTCAACTATTAAGGTCTAGAAATGTCCTAGTTATCTAGAATAGGCACGTGACCTGGATGAGGATCATCAATCTTGAATTGATAATTCCATGGTGTCCTTGCCAGTGAAGGATGTGGAGAATAGTGAGCAAAGCAAAATTTTAGTAGCAAAAAGGCAATGTAGACTTTGAATAACTAGATATAATAAGAACAAAAGTTATTTTAATGCATCCTATAAAAATATGGAATTATAATAAGGTAAATGGTATGATATTCTTTCAATCTATGTTCTTTTTAGCTTGATTGCGAATTTGCAATTTTTACTTATTTGGAGGGAAATATCCAAGGGTGCTTCTGCCCTTGCAAGGAACATAATTTCATCAGATTTTACTGCCCTTTCTAAGTCTTGTTCATTGCTTCAGGAAATCTTCTGCCTGCTTTGTTTATGTTTACTTAAAAGTAAATTTGCCTCATATATTCCACAAATACAAACCATGTGCATCACCTGTACCTGTGTGACAGCTGAGTTACATGTACTTTCACTAGACTGGCACTGTAGCCATAAACTGCCTAAAGCAATTTTAACTGAATTCCTTTTTCAAAGTTTAAATATATCTATAGTGCTAGATACTTAAACCAGTAAATATCTGTTGCAGTTTCAGTTATGCAGGGAACAATAAGATTGGAGAATGAAAAGGGAAATAATTGCTTTCTAATTTTCTGACTTAAAAATTAAAACAATAGAAACAGAACAAAGTAAGAAAGTGCAATTAAATGCTTAGCTTTTTTGGAGGGAAGATCCTTTACCCTTCATAATCATTGTCAAAAAACTTCACATGCACATGTGCGCATGCACACACGCACATAATTTAACTGCAGAGAGAACGCCAGATTTGGATTCTAAATCTGAAACTACCTTGCTGTGTGACCTTCAGCAGGGCCTAAATAAAACACCTTGCATCTCAGCTTTCTCAGCTATCAAGAAGGGATAATAATATCTGTCTTGCCAGGTTGCTTTGAAGCTTAGAAATAATCTACATCAATCAAGTACCTGGAATATAGAAGGTGATCAATAAAAGTTAGACATTATGTTTGCTGGTATTCAGATTTTCATACAGTATAAGAAAAGTCAGAGTAGGAAAAGTCTGAACAAACATGTTCAGAATATAAAATAGAAAATACAAACATCCGTTAATAAAGTTTTGATTAACAGGCTAAAGGGAAAACTTGCCAGGAAAAGAGGTGAAAACAGAAATGGGCATCTGGAAATCCCTAAAATAGCATAATATAAAAGGATTGCAGTTACAAAAAAAGACAATCTGCCTATATTGAGGAACATACCGATAGGAATACCTGAAATAATGTAAATTAAGTTGTTAGTAATAAAAATATTTGGAACAGCAAGTATTGTAACAGCTTAGCATCCCAACATTCTGGGAAAGTATAAATAAATATTAACTAGTGTCATCCTCTTCCCCCAAAAAGCATGCTTATCCATATTCTCTCTGTGTTGGAGACAACGACAACTCTTTTCAAGTCTTATATTAAATCTGCTTATTTCTGTGAACATTTTATTTCACCAGTTTTGCAAGCAGAAATTAGAATGCCAAAGACATGTGCACTGCAATAAAGAAGATAAGTGGCCGAGTTGAACATACAGAACCAAGAACGAGCTCACAAATAAGACTTTGACATTCAACAGTGGCAATGAATTATCAATTAGTCTACTCTTCTACCTTTGCTAAGCATAAAGATATCTTCATTTGAGCAAATGAAGTGAACATCTACTCTGAGATTTGCTCTGCTGGGTTATGTGTGGGGAAATTCAATAAGTATAGGTTGAGAACTGCCTTCCTATTGCTTTGTATCTAAAAATGCAGTACAGAAATGAAGTTCTTTATAAATAGTTATATGATAATATGAGAGAAATAATGTTTAAGTTCTAAAGTGATGGTGTACTCATTAACTAGCTTCTGGGACTGCCATGAAAGACAGCATTGGGGATTATGTATGGTGTGTTGTAGGAGTTTTAGATGCTAAATGTCTATACAATTAACATTATGTTTGTTTTCAAACATATATCCAAATTAGTCTATGCCGATTGCTAAATGTTTACTGTGCCTGTCCTAAGTCATTCTACAAATATTTATTCAGCATTTCTTAAGTATTGGGTTGTAGCAATAAAGAAGACAGAGACCTCACCTTCAGAGAACTTACATTCTAGTTGACATAGAATTACTATTAACTATAACTATACTTATATATATAAACATTACAAACATACACACAAAGAAAATAATTTTAGGTACTGACATGTAATTAAGAAAATATGACAGGAAACTCAGAAAGAGACAAGAGTGGGAAGAAGCTTTGACTATCATCATCAGGGAAGGCCACTTGCATGGGTTGACATTTGTGTTGAGATCTGAATGGTAAGCGGTGCTGAAACTATTGGCTTTATGAGTTGCAGGAACCAGGCAGCAAGTATACACAGAAATGTGTTAAATTAGGATTATATAATGGTCTTCAGGTAATCTAGTAGGGCAATCTATATCCTCAAGTTGGCTAAAGATACTCCAAGCTATTTCTCTACAAAGTAACTCACAGATGCCAGAAGTCTAGTGATCTGACTGTGTGAGGCAAAACTTATCTTGTGGACAGACAGTCACACATGGTGCTGGTACATTCTAATGATGGACCAAGAAGTCTCTCAAGATGAACACCTGTAGTAAAGCAATCCATCAGTGAGATTTACTCTTTCTCTTGCTCCAATTGCCTAACTAATCTTGCCTAACTAATCTGGACAAAAAGAAAAGAAGGGCAAATGTGGAATCAAATAATAAATACTCTTACATACAGCATGATTTAATGATTTTAAATAACATATAATGCTGTCAACAACCACATGAGATAAATATTACCAACCACTATTTTATAAATAAGGAACTGAGGTCCAGATAATTTAGGAAAATTGCTTAATGCACAGGCAGTCTCCCTCATGAGTTCATGCTCTTAATGACTGGGCTATGCTACCCCTCTAAAATAAATAGGGAAGGTTTATGGTAGATATTAGCTTAAGCTAGAAATGTAGGCAAAATTTTGGGGAAAAATATGAGCATCACATGGAGAAATAATTCAATGATTAGGGTACAAACATGAGAATTTCTACAGTAGTGAATACAGTATAACTGAAGCATTAAGTTGATGTTGGCAATTATTAACTCAGAATAGTGCTACTCAAAGTGTGGTCCATTAATAGCCTGTTTGAATTATTTCGTTGCTGATTTACCATGAGACAAGAAGCTGGTGCCAGAGTAGAAATCAACTATATCACTAAGCATACCAGTTGCTTTCCTTGAAATTTTGTTTTTATCTTGTAACAGAATGTTCTTTTTGAAACAAGCAATGCATTGATTCACATTCTTGCACAAGCTCCTTATCTTCTCATAGACAAGTACTTTGAAACACAATGAGCTAGAGTATAGGTGATGTTGCTGTAATTATGCCATTCAAAAATACATTGGCTAAATAAAATGAAGATGTATTTCTCACTCATGTAACTGTCCAGAAGTAAGCAGGTAGTCTTGGAGCTGCAGACAGTTCCACGCCACATGATCACCTAGGGGCTCAGACTGATACGCTCTTCAATATATGGCTTCCACTTGAGGTCAAGTTACATGCTGCAATCTAGCCATTTTACAGCTGGTGGTAAGTTGGAAAGGAGAAATCCAGGGAGTGTGGCTTTATTTTTGAGGATACTTCATATCATTTTGTCTCACTTTCCATTGAACTGAAATTAATATGAAGAAAGCTACATTGAAGAAAGAGTGTGAAATATACTCTCTAGCTGGGAATCTGCATAATAAGCTAAATAGGGGATGCTCCATTATCGACTGAAGAAGTGAAGAATAGATAGTTCAGCCTTCTCTGCCACAGTGAAAAATATGGTTAGTTGAACTAAAACTACACCATATGAGTATATGAGATGGAATACTAAATAAAAAGATGGCAGAAAATGGAGATACCAGTTAAAACAAAATTTCAGTTATGTGAATTAAATAAGGAATGTTGTTTACTGGCTTCTAATTAATTCCTTTTATCACAGTTTCCATAGATGAATTTGTAGAAAAATCCAGGATCTGTAACCTAATTTTTTCCAAGGTAAATTCTAACATAATATGGTTGTCATTATACATTACTGATCCCTTTAGATTGTACTTCAGCCTTGTTCCAATGAGAGCAGGGATAGAAATGTATTTGAGTCAAGAGTGCCTTTTAATTTTATAGAGTATGAATATGAATAGCCATTGCCATAGGTAGTGTTCCCTAGAAGCAGAATGTGAGATAGAGATTCCATTGCAAATGATTTAAGAAATGCTTTCAGGAAAAACCTATAAGGGAAACTATGAAACTGAAAAGACGGGAAAAGAGCTGACAAGGATGTCATCTCTGGTAAAGCCTAGCCTTACCTGATCTGCAGGGAGAGAACTAGTCACAGGCCAATTTTCTCACCTTGAGGCAAGCAGGTCAGTCTTCCGTACCCCTGCATCCACTGGAGGTGGGCTATCCCCTGAGAGTGAGGAGGGGATGCAGAGTTTGATTTCCGGTCAGGTGGCTTCTATTAGCCGGGGAGAATTCTCAATCCCCTAGCTGGGGGCAATAGCAGCTGGCAAAGTTCAGAGGAGTGGAGGGTTTGCTCTAGTCTGAAAAGAGGATGCATTCAGTGGAGAAAAGAGCTTCCACCACACTCTACTCTGTACACGCTCAGTTTCATTTGTTATGTTCACTCCAACCAGACACATTTTTTCTCATGATTCTATAAACTTCCTGCCTGGGGAAATTTATAAGAGGAGAATTATTTTGAGAAACTATAACACAATTGCTGCTTTTGGTCCCAAAGGTGAAATCAGTGATTATTTTCTCCCATTTTGTCTCCTATTCTGTATTTCCCCCACCTTTGTCTAGCATTTTTGCTGGCCTAGAAGAAATACTGGGTGGGTCAGATAGTCTTAGGACTGGAGGAAGTAGCAGCAGTGATAGTTTGTCTCACTGACTCTCCTCTTGTAAATTTCTTTAGGAGAAAAGCTGTGTTTAGATAAAGATGACTTAAGGAGTACACTATGGTAGTCTGTTCTGGCACCCCCATCTAGCACTTATCAGGCAGTGGTTGCCATACTTTGCCATTTACAGTTATAACTGGGTAAGGAAGTACCAACAAGCAACTTAGTGAACTATTTGAATGCCAAAGATACTTCTCCCTGTTCTCACTATATAGTAGCTGTTCTAATTCTTCATGTTTATGTGGGTCAATTACCCCTACCAGGATGGTAACTCATTTCCATGTCTGCCAATCTACTGGCACAAAAAGTCCAAAGTGACCAGGTAGGAGTTTTAGCTTTGTGTTTGGTGAGCCCCTTCCCATGTCTCCTGGTGGAATCTTCCCTGCTATGGGAGCTAGAATTCCTAGATCCACCAACCTTAAAGTTATGAGGAAAGAAAGCACAAATTCTCCAAGCATATCATTGGGAATACTGGTAAGGGGGTCCATTCCCACATCAACTCCTGGACTCAAATACACAACTCTTTGGACAAAGGGTACAGTAGAGGCACCTGTTGGTGATATAGTGTATTCCTTAAATAAAAACTATTTGTTGGACTCTGCACCAACTAATAGTTTATGATTTAATGCGTACACTATATCTTCAAGCTGGTACCTCAACTGTATCTTTCAAGTGGCCTTTCCATCACTCTCAGGCGAGCAACTTGTAGAAACTGGGGTATGTTAATAGGACCAGTGACTTTCAGGGCCATATGCCTACTGCCATGCTTCCTTTACCAGAAAGAAGTTTCCCTTATCCCAAGCAATAGTATGTAAGATAACATGTCAATGAGCCATATACTCTGTGAGCCCTTTCATAGTGGTGATAGCCAGGGCTACGTGGGCAGAGAAGGAGAGTTAATGTTTGGAATACATGTCAAACCTGATGTAGGTGAATCATGCCCTTTTCATTATCACAGTGTCCAATAT
Source organism: Homo sapiens (assembly GCF_000001405.40). Taxonomy (NCBI): domain Eukaryota; kingdom Metazoa; phylum Chordata; class Mammalia; order Primates; family Hominidae; genus Homo; species Homo sapiens. Next base: position 114,858,220 of record NC_000004.12, on the reverse strand, counting down.
AATCAATGTTTCACTAAGTGGCAGGATAATGCTATTTCTGAGATTTGAAAGTATTTGCTGTTACTGTCAGGTCAGATATTCAGCACTGGCAGTAACTACAGAAGACATAGGGGAAAGAGGTCCATGCATGGCTTTCACCTGTGCTGCCATGGTTACTCTATTCATGAGCCATTTGCATTAGCTCTGGGTTAGTTGACAACAGAGGTTAGGCAACACGTAGGAATGTTGTAACCTGGCTGAATCATACTGCTCTCTTGGTTGTCAGGGCCTCTTCTACATAAAATGCTCTCTGGTGTACATTAATGTATAATACAAAGACCATCACACACTTTGGACACTATCATAGGTCCATCCACATGCCTCTTTCTTAGAACTTCCTATCTTAATTTTCCTAGCTTGTTCCTTCAAGTTGCCTGTCCTGTCCATCCTATGCCATTTATTCATCTCTGCTGATTAGTTTGTCATATCCTTACCTTTGGCTATAAGTCTATCCACAAAGCAAACAAAAAGCAGATGACTAGGTACACTGCCCACAACTCTGACAACTGAAAGAGTTCCATTAACCAGCGATTTTTAGAAACCCCTCTGAATGGAACTGTAGTGCCACCAAAGTCCATTTTAGTCTTCTACTAACATATGGGTTAGCCCATCTGCAAACCAAGCCTGGGTTTCTCCTCTTTGTCAGCAGGTTATAGAAACCCTTCACAAAACTAAAAATGAGCTGATGGAGAAGCATCAGTGCAACAGTGACAGGTGACTTAGAATCATGGGCCACTTATTTGTAAGTGGCCCCTGGATCAGCCTGACACTGATCCCAGATATACCATTCCCATCTTACAGTGAATTGTTGCTGGACATACCTGAATTTATGATTTGATGGGTCTATCACTATTCAGTTCATGGTGGGTAGTTATGGCCACTTGATCACATTAGTGACTAATGACAAACACTCTCTTCCATAGCACTCTCTTCTTGGATACAGCAGTATACAAGTGCTATGGTTTGCGTAATATGATTCAGATAGTATGCTTTGCTACAGAACCTTAAAAGTGTACATTGTGATTCTTTTCAAGTACTTGCCAGATATTCCACAAGGCATCCATTTATATCATTGATGCCATAGTATCATGAATCTTCCAGCATATAAAGCCCAAGTGTGAGGGTGGCTTGTACTTCAGCCTTACCTACTGCCTACCCCTTTCTTGCTCTAGGCCCCATCCTAAACTTGAAGCTATCTGTATCACTCAATAAATGCACAGAGAAATATTTCCTAGCACTGTGCTACCTCTTAGCAGTAGGAGTTGCAATGTACAACTTACACTTTGCTATGAACGGGATGTCCCAGTGTGCTCAAGATGTCCAGACCCCTGAAAGCTTAAAAGGTGGCAGGCTCCTAAAACTTTGTATGCTTGTCTTCCATCCTCTGAGGTGCATGTGTTTTATTAAGGCAGCCAGAGTAATTTCCACTTATTTGTCAGGTCCAAATATCATGTCAACAATATAGTGAGCCAGTGTTAGGTTCTGCAGAATGCCAGGGTGATACTGGTCCCTTTAGTCTATATAATAACACTGGGAAGAATCGGCCTAAGCATTTCTTAATGGATCTTCTATTTTAATTGGATAAAATTATATTCTGTCATAGAATAAAATGATATTGAGAAGTCTATGATTTTGCAGCACCTATATTTGGCAAAATGGTTAAAAGAATCATAATTAGAGAAAACTCACTTGACAAGTGTTATATTTAAAAGTATTTGTCAAAGAAAAACATTCTTAATGGAAAATAATTGTGAAAATATTTGGTCTCTAATATTTAGACATTTTCATATTAAAAAAATTAGAGCTGAAAATTTGCTTATTGGCCAGGCACAGTGGCTCATGCTAATCCCAGCACCTTGGGAGCCCAAGTCCAGAGAATCACTTGAGGCCAGTAGTTCCAGACCAGCCTGAGCAACATGGCAAAACCCCATCTCTACCAAAGAAATAAAAGATTAACTGGGCATGGTTGTGCACATCTGTAGTCTCAGATAATCCGGAGGCTGAGGTAGGAGAATCACTTGAATCTGAGAAGAGAAGGTTGCAGTGAGCCGAGTTGGCACCACTGCACTCCAGCCTGGGTGACAGAGCGAGACTGTGTTGAAAAAAAAAAAGAAAGAAAGAAAGGAAAGGAAGGGGCTTATCTCAACTCTCTCTCCAGTTAAAAATACAGTGGCTTACAGAGAAGAGTAATTTGAGTGTCAACACTTTCACATTTATTAACTATGAAATGCAAATTTGAGAAGGATTGAAGACAATTTTATAGAAAAGCAAAACATAATAATATATCAAAAACGATCATTCTTCAGAACTTTGGTGACATAGTATTAAAGAAAGATGTATCTAAAGAATTGATTAATACCACCAATGGCATTCTTCACAGAAATATAAAAAATAATCCTAAAATTAACATGGAACCACAATGGACCCAGAATAGCCAAAGTCATCCTAGGCAAAAAGTACAAAATAGGAAGAATCACATTACTTGACTTCAAATTATACTACAGAGCTATAGGAACCAAAATGCATGGTATTGGCATGCAAATAGACACATAGACCAATGAAACAGAATAGAGAATCCAGAAATAAACCCATACCTCTACAGTGAACTCATTTTCACCAAAGATGTCAAGAACATACACTGGGGAAAAGATAGATTCTTCAGTAACCAGTACTGGAAAAACTGGATAGCTGCATGCAGAAGAATGAAACTAGACCCCTATCTCTCTCCGTACACAAAATAAAATTAAAATGGATTAAAGACTTAAAACTAAGACCTCAAACTATAAAACTACTAAAATAAAACATTGGAGAAACTCCCCAAGACATTTAGTCTGGGCAAAGATTTCTTAAGCAATACCCCACAAGTCCATGCCAAAGCAAAAATGGGCAAATGGGATCACATCAAGTTAAAAGGCTGCACAGCAAAGGAAACAATAAAGTTTAGAGACAACCCAAAGATTGAAGTAAAATATTTGCAACTACCCATCTGAGAATGAATTTTTAACCAGAATATGTAAGGGATTCAAACAACTCTATAGGAAAAAAAAAACTAATAATCTGATTTAAAAATGGGCAAAGGATCTGAATAGACATTTCTCAAAAGAAGATATACAAATGCCAAATTATTATATGAAAATGTTCTCAACATCATTGATCATCAGAGAAATGCAAATCAAAACTACAATGAGATGCCATCTCACCCCAGTTAAGACATATCTTGTCCAAAAGACAAGTAATAACAAATGCTAGTTAAGATGTAGAGAAAAGGGAACACTTGGACACTGTTGGTGGGAATGTAAATTAGTACAACCACTATGGAAAACAATATGGAGTTTCCACACAAAACGAAAAATAGAACTACCATGTGATTCAGCAATCTAACATCATGAATATTAAAAATATTCTAAAAAAGAAAGGAAATTGGTCGGGCTCATGCCTGTAATCCCAGCACTTTGGGAGGCTGAGGTGGACAGATCATGAGGTCAGGAGATAGAGACCATCCTGGCTAACATAGTGAAACCCCGTCTTTACTAAAAATACAAAAAATTAGCCGGGTGTGGTGGCACGTGCCTGTGGTCCCAGCTACTCGGGAGGCTGGGGCAGGAGAATCGCTTGAATTTGGGAGGCGAAGGTTGCGGTGAGCCGAGATTGTGCCATTGCACTCCAGCCTGGGCAACAAGAGCAAAACTCTGTCTCAAAAAAAAAGAAAGGAAATCAGTATATTGAAGAGATACCTGCACTCCCACATTTATTTCAGCACTATTCACAATAGCCAAGATTTGGAAGCAACTTAAGTATCCATCAACAGAGAAATGAATGAAGGGAATGTGGTACTTATACACAATGAAGTACTATTCAGCCATGAAAAAGAATGAGATTTTGTCATTTTCAACACCATGGATGAAACCTGAGGATATTACGTTAAGTGAAATAAGCCAGGCACAAAAAGGCAAACTTCACATGTTCTCATGCATTTGTGAGAACTTAAAATTAAAACAATTGAACTCATGGAGATAGAGCATATAATGATACAATGATGGGTACCAGGGGCTGGGAAGCAAAGTGGAGGTGGTAGGAATGGGGATCGTTAATGGGTGCAAAAATATAGTTAGATCGAATGAATAAAATCTAGTATTTAACAGCACAACAAGGTGACTACAGTCAACAATAATTTATTTTACATTTAAAATAACAAAAGCATAAAATTAGAACACTTGTACTACAAGAAATGATAAATGCTTGAAGTAATGGATACCCCATTTACCCTGATGTGATTATTATGTATTGTATGCCTGTATCAAAATATCTGATGTATTTCAAAAATGTATATACCCACTATGTAGCCATAAAATTAAAAATTAAAAAATTAAAAATTAAGTGAAAAAGGAACTGATTAAAGTACAGAAATATGAACCATAAATGTTTTTCCTTCTTGTTTCATTGTTAATATTGGGATAATAAATATAAAAATAGAATGTTTTAATTTCCAAGGTATATGTTTTTTAAAAATACTTTTACTTGTGACAATCATCTTGAATATAATTATTGTGTAGGTCACCAATATAATAAAACCAACATGGCAGTCAATAAATATTTCAAAAATTTTATCCTTTTAATTTTAAAAGCCCTTTTAATTCTCAAAAGTGTAATGATTTTGGTAATAAATTAGAGTCAGCCAGATAGAATGAAATAAAAACTGGCACTGGAAGTGTAGGTTAGATGGGCATAATATTGGACCAATGGATACATTGGGTATGTTGAGTCTGAAATTTCCTCACCGTATCTATACAAAAATGATATATTTGCAATATAAAACCTTAAGTCTAGAGCTCAGGAGGGAGGTAGAGGCTGGATACTGATCTAGAAGCTATCAGCTTATAAGATGTGGCCAAACCATGGGAATATTTGAATCAAAACATGAAATGAAATGAAAAGGAAAAGTTGGCCAAGTCTGGAATTCAAGGATAGCATTCCAGCCTCTAGGGAGAAAAAATAGGAATGATTAGGGAGAACACAGTAATATGAGTAACTATGATGAAACCAGGTTAAGTCAAGTCCTCTGATATATAGACATAAAACATAAACCAAGAAATAGAGTAGTATCACAGGGATTAGAGCCTTGCCAAACACTGAAAGATGATAACAACAGGAAGGACTTGATGCTGAGTCCCAGCCTTGAGATAAGGAAGGTGTCAATAACTTTATTTAAAAAAGATTTGGAAACCAGAGAACGAGAGTGAGGTCTAACTCCAAGTTCTAAGGTATTAGGCCAGAATTTGATTCCATCTTTTGAACAATTTTTAGAGAACAGAGCCAGACAGTCATTACACTGTGAGGTTACTTATTCTTCCTTCTTGCAGAATCCATGTGATGATAAACGACACAAAGACATCTGGTCCAGAGAGAAAACTTGTGACCACTTACCAAAATTTCTAGTAATTGGTCCACAAAAAACAGGTAAAAATAGCCAATTGTGCTACTTATATCCTTTTTAAAAATATTTTATGAAATACATTGGTATATGGATTTATCAGATTAGATTTTTCTTTGTGAAATATTTAGCTATCCATGCAAGTTTATTATTTGAACTGCTTGTCATCTCCATGATTCGCATTTATACCATGAACCTCAAGAGGATCTTAAAGTTTCCCACTAAGTAGCCTTAAACACTAAATTCTTTATGAACTTTAAAACTGTTCAACATACATGCCAAATTTGGACAACTTTGAACTTATGTGTCTCAGTTGTTGTACCTCATCTTTAATTTTTACTTTTTTGGCTTTATTTAATTAATTTCTAAAGCAATTTATAAAAACATGTTTTGGCCCGATTCAAACTATTTTATCTGGTATATCAGCCTTTGAATTGATTTTTATTCAGTCACTGCCATGATTACTTTCAAATATTTTACATATGTGATTCCTTTTAAAAAATTAATCATTAGGTATTAGCATGATATGGACTTACTTTCTGAAACACTTGAAGTTCATCAGGTATTTTTTCCTTGGTATTCTCTCATGCACTGAAGGACAACTGTATAAGAATGCAGTAAAAGAGAGTGAAAGCATTTCACCAATGAGATGACACTTTCAATTAGAATATTTTATACTTTCTTCAGTATGTGACAGTTTTATACACTTTGCTCATGTCCTGATTAATTAAAGTTTTATTGAGTTGCTGTATTTTGAATTCACTACTTTGACTAGAAGCATTTTCATCAGTGAGTGCACAAACCATAACAGAAAACAAACAGTCTCAATAAATAAGCCTGGCCCAGATGAAGGTATTTGTAATACAAGTAAGTAGGTCATTTTAAAAGTTGTGGGCAAAATTTCCAGACTATTAAATATTGGTTGTTGAAATCTTTTCTTTCTCTAGGAATATAAATTGTATTACAACAGTAAGTTAACACATGTGCAGGGAGGGGAAAGAGCAACACATATTTTCAGATAGATCACTTTTGTTGTTGTTTAAAATGTACATTAATTTTCTACCAACTCCCTTACAGCATTGCTAACTCTGGAGTGACTACTAAAGAAATAAAACACTCCTGTGTTGTAAAATTGTGTTAAAAATCTAATAGAAAGATGTATCCCCTATCATTTGTCATTGAATATTATTATGTTTTAGTTCTGTGAAAAAATTACAGCTTAGTAACTATAAATCTATTTTTCTTTCTTGTTGTTTGCATTCATAAAGACATTAAGCTATACGTTTAGATTTTCATATTTGACCTACCAGTATGGAAATGATAAAGCATTTAGCTGGTTTTGGCTTTCCTAAGACAAACAAACAAATAAGATGTTAAAACAAAGGAATCAGATGGTAATAATATTTCATAGGCTATGAAAATATTCTTCTAATATAAAAACGGTTGTAGTAATTCTTAAAATCCAATTGTAGAAGTCTGAAGTCATAGTTTGTTCTTCTTATTGCTTCAGTTGGCAAAACACCCAGTGCTGTCAGAGACTATAAATTCACTGCAGGGGGGTCACAAATACGTGCTGCCAATCTTCCCTTAAATGCAAACTTGTCTTTCAGTGACTTAAATGTGGTGCATGCATCTCTTACAAGAAGCATGAGGTACAAAAGTGGTTCCCAAACTCCTATTTGCTCAGTTTTTGTGAGGTGAGAATGGAAAGACGTGATATTTCACTTTGCCATTGCTGAATCCCAGAAGAGATTCCTGTGGGCTGAAAGTCGGTCAGGGAATGAGGAAGGGGAGAAGAGAAATAGGCAGAGATGATGGACATAGACTTAGAGACCTTAGACTTAAGGGACTCAAAGTTCAAATCATAGTCCCTTGTGAGCCTTTGAACAGATATTCATCCTTCATCATTCAGAGTCAAATTCTGGTATTGTCAATGTAAAAAGAGGATTCTCATAGGGTTACATTTAGCACAACAATTATAAGAGCATAACTCATTGGCCTTAGATCTTTCAGAAGATCAGTGTTCACACTGTCAATATTAATGTCTCATGATTTGCCTGGCTTACCCCCGTACATTAAAACTAAGGAGGAGTTGATTGTATATAAAATAGAATAGTTTCTATTAGTATAGGATTTTTTCCTCTTCTTCCATGAAATATTTATATTAAAGAAGTTGATATAAAAGGAAATGAGGTAAAAGAAATTGATAGAAAATTAATGTCAAGGATAGATGAAAAATTTAGGTGATAATTTTTAAAATGTGCATTTTGAGGTAATGGGCCCAGATTTTATGGCTGATTACATGAATATCAAGCCACATTTTTTCTGTTTCTAGTTGAGAGTGCTTGCTCTCTCCTCCCTATCAGATGCCTCTTGATGTCCCTTAAGGTCCTGGAGGCATGAAGGTATGTGTGCAGAACATAAAGGCTTTGGCTTTCTGTAGGCCAGGGGAGATCGGGGTACGATTATGTGACCAACAGGGTAATTAAACATTTCTACTTATTACTGAGTGAGGCTATAAAGTGTCTATATTTAGATAATCAACAACTAAAGAATATTTTTATCTGTGCCCTGCATGCATCTACCTTCAATACCTTAGGAATATTAAACTATCAATTTTCTCATTTGTGTTTTGTGTGTCTCAAATCTATCTTTCTCTCCACCCCCCTTAAGAAAGTGTTATCTTAAAAAGTATTTTTAAAAAAAACTTCTAGATTTCATGTTTCCTTCCAGTTTCTACTCTATTGCTAATTCATTTCCCTAGAACATTTTTTGTTTTTGCTCTTCTCACATTTTCTCGTTTTTAAACTCCTGTTATATTTAGGAGTAAACCATATAAGCTCTTGAGGATGCCCCTCGTCCCTCATAACTATTACATCTGTATTTTTCAGTGTGGTTGAGAGATTTCTCCTGTCTAAACTTTAAGACTCTAATTTAGTTCTTAACCAGTTCTGTCTCCTTCATTCTTTTAATCAAGTTTGTATAATTCGATTTCACATTTGTTATTCCTTAAATCTTTTTAAATTAGTAATTACATATCCCTAGGGCATTTATTAATTTTGCCATCTTATTTCGCACACAGTGTTTCATTCTAGGTGTTTTAACATGTCTTCCATCAAGGTGGTTGGTCCCCATGGATCTGTTGTTACGTTCTTCCCTTTAGCTACTCATTACCTCTTGGTGGCCATGTAAAGCTGGGAGGATCTAAAAGGGCGGCAATCTCATTAATACTCAAAGTGCAGTAGCCTTTGCTCATATGAGCTTAAGGTATATGTGAACAAAATGCCAATTATCTGCTGGCCTTGTCTACTTCCAGATCCCATTTGCAATGATAGTTGTTCTGCCAGCCCACCTATGTAGCTTGTCTGCAGCTCTGCTAGGGCTAGGAAATCTAACAACTGCTGCTCACTCCAATGTATCACAGAACAGTTTACCTTTTCCAGAAGAAAAGTCTTGATTTATGAGAGTTATGATGACCCAGTCAGTTCATGAGTTCTTTCTGCTATAGCTAGCTGCCAGTCTCCGGCCTGGCTCTGAGGGAAATAAGGTTCAGAGATTACATTTGAGACCTCTGCAATGTGCACACAGGTGGTTTCTATCAGCCAGTCTGCTCTATCTAGTGCTCCAATTATCAGACTTGTCATATTTTGCCAGAGAAGTCATTGAAGCAGCCATCTTTCAAGAGTCCTGCCTTCTTCTTTCAACCTTGCTGTGTAACACTTATGTTTTTAAGGAAAAGTATTAGAATACACTTCCTCCTAGAATCTGTCACTGATTTCCCAAGTCTAAATCACCCATTTTCTCATATATTGGAAAGGTGCTCTGGTCTTCTCTCATTATGGCACCTGTCCCACAACATCACAATTACTTGTGTACTTGTCCAAGTCCACACAGGGACTTTAAGTTCATTGAGGGCAGCAAATGTGTTTTCTTAATCAAGAGTTACTTCCGGACCATACACAGAGTAGCACATCAACCTCTGTTAAATAGTTTGATTTCATTCATCTGAATTTCAATGCTAATTGAAGACCCACCAGGTAAGATACCATGCCTAATGATAAAGATGGAGCCAGAAGGACCCTTGCCCTTCATGCTTTAGCCACTCACCTGACTCCTGGAGGAAAGTTGAGCTGCATGACTTCCGCAGTGCCACACTAGCTGCATCATCAGTCTGCTTTACTTTGGCCATGTGCTAATATTAAATCAGGCATTCTGATCAATAGAATCATGAAGACTAAAAATAGAACACTTAGATTGTGGCTGCATGGAATGCATCTAGTTGATTTTAAGGAAATCACTTTGATACTGGAAATAGTTGATTATTTTAATATTACTTTTTGAGCAAAAATATGCTAAAATAATATTTTGTCTCTTATTGCCATATAACCTTTTACTTTCTTTTTTTGTAACAGGAACAACTGCACTTTATTTATTTCTTCTTATGCATCCTTCAATCATCAGCAATCTCCCTAGTCCAAAGACATTTGAGGAAGTTCAGTTCTTTAATGGCAACAACTATCACAAAGGAATAGACTGGTAAGAAAAATAACAAAAAATAAATTCCATTATTAACACATGCTCAATCACTGCAGAGCAATTACAGATGTATGTGTGGCATCTGCATAATTACAGGATAAATTCACCACAGTGAATTAGAAATTAATTTATAATGATGATATGTTTAATCAGTGTTGCCTATAATGTGATTTGGACAGTGCAATAATGATAATATTTTTCTGCTAAATTAATATGATTGAATAAAAAACATTATGGGATATATTTCATCAGAATTATTCATAAGGGTATTTAAAATTCTCTTTAAGCGTAGCATTATTTAACTGTGCCTAATTTTTTTCTCAACACATAATTTGTCTTCGCAACAATGTTTCAGGCAACAAATAAATCAGTAGTTTATTTTATAATTCGTGACATGTATCTTCATTAACCACATAAACTGTAAGTTTTGTTATAATGTAGGCTGATATTTGTCATGCAAATAATAACAGGACATTTTCAAAACCATATCAATTCTAGTCACACACGTACATAAAATAAATATTAAGTAACACATGATAAATTATGAAAAAAATAAAATCACAGTATTTCCCCTAAACTAAAATAGAATAAACCTGATACTGGAAATGATTTTCACTCTGGTGATTTTTTCTAGCTCTATTCCAATTTTTCAAGAAAACATGGTCCTGAATTTAATTTCTAGTTCACAGGTATATAAAGCAAATCTCACCTGAGGAAAATTCCCCTCAATGCACACATCTGCAGCATGTAAGTTTGTGTGTCATCATCATGCATGAACCTGTTTGCAATGAAAGACACTTTTTTTTTTTTTTTTTTTTTTTTTTTTTTTTTTTTTTTTTGAGACGGAGTCTCGCTCTGTCGCCCAGGCTGGAGTGCAGTGGCGGGATCTCGGCTCACTGCAAGCTCCGCCTCCCGGGTTCACGCCATTCTCCTGCCTCAGCCTCCCAAGTAGCTGGGACTACAGGCGCCCGCCACTACGCCCGGCTAATTTTTTGTATTTTCAGTAGAGACGGGGTTTCACCGTTTTAGCCGGGATGGTCTCGATCTCCTGACCTCGTGATCCGCCCGCCTCGGCCTCCCAAAGTGCTGGGATTACAGGCGTGAGCCACCGCGCCCGGCCGAAAGACACATTTTTTTAAGGTACAGCTAGGATCAGGGTTGGGCAGGTGCAACACCGGCGAGCAGATCAAGGTTCCCATTGTTGTTGGAGATGTGTCGACTCTGCATCTGGGACATTATATCCTACCTTACTTTTAAAAGGCTAAATAACCTTTGGAATTGCATGCAGGTTATTAAAAGCAGAACGGCAATTTTCTCTGATCTGTGAGCCCAAATGGAACACAAATTGTTTAGCAGGAATATAGATGAGACTCTTCACCACTCCGCTTTTGGGAAACATAATAACAAATGTCAAAGAGGGAAATAAGTGTCTTATATGAATTCTTAATTGCTCTTATTATTTATTTCTAGAACATTTGAGGGTGAGAGAAGTGATGAGCTGTAAGGAGGGTTACACACATAATTAAAGACTTGCACTGAATTAACCTCAGAACATATTGATTCCATAATCCACACGCAGAGGAACGTTTTGACAGCATATGGAGGAGGGAACCTACTGAGGCACCACAGGATCAACTGGCAGGAAATATCCCCTTAATTACTCTAGATAGACTATAAAGTGTTCACATCGCTACGTATACTACAAATTACGAAGAAATTAAGAAGGAAGAGAACCGCCATGCCCTAAAATTGTTGGTGTTTTATAGCTATTCAGACTCACACATTTTTCTGTCTTGTGAACTTTAATCTCACCGAATAATTTCTGCATTCAAATTTGCAAACATAAATTTACTATTTTTTAATATCAACTAAACAATATAGTGTAATTTGCTATTTGCCACAGGCAAATAGTATTTCTGGAATTGGAGTTTTATAGCACAGAACATCAGCCCAAATGTATAGTACTTTTCCTTTGACCCTTATTGGCCTACCTATTTCACCTCACTCCTTCCCATGCCCAAAATGGGTCATTAGAAGAGGAATATTTTGGGTTGACTTCACATTCAATGTGTATAGAATATCTATTATTTAAACTATAACAGCATAATAATCAGAAATAGCTATAAATGAATATTAAAATGTTCCAATTATTTCACATTCAGAATATGGCAAGAAAAATTATTTTCAGATTAATTAATTGTCTTTCTCTGCCTTCAGGTATATGGACTTTTTCCCTACACCATCCAATACTACAAGTGACTTTCTGTTTGAAAAGAGTGCTAATTACTTCCATTCGGAAGAAGCTCCAAGACGAGCCGCATCTCTTGTCCCCAAAGCCAAGATCATCACCATCCTCATTGACCCCTCAGACAGGGCATACTCTTGGTACCAGGTATGGTCAGTAAAAAAATCGGCTAAAAGCATTTTGTTATAGCTTAAATGGAGGCAATGAAAAATAACCAGAATAGAACCTAAACATATGAAAAGTCAAATGTAAGAATATCTAAACCCACAACCCCCACCAAAAAATATGAGAAATATGAGCTGTATATTTAACTCGTACCAAGTTGGGCAAGGACTTTCAGGCATAAAATAATTATTTAAAAACTCACACATCACCAAAGAATTAATAGATTTCCTAAGCTATATAAACATGTAGAATGTTGATTTATCAAAAATTAACAAATTTAAAAGTCAGTTTCTAGAGTGACAATACATGGTGAATGGCATAGAGCTTTATTTTATAAAAGTTTCGTCCAAGTTAATAAATAAGTAAAATATCGCAGTAGAAAAATGAGCAAAGTGAAGAAAAGGCACAGCTAAACAATCGCACACACAAAAACAACAGTCCAACAACTTATGTGAAAATAATCAACCCAATTGGAGACCAGGTCTCACTCTATTACCCAGGCTGGCGTGCAGTGGCGTGATCATAGCTCACTGCAGCCTCTCCCTCCTGGGCTGAAGTTATCCTCCTGCCTCAGCCTCCCAAGTAGCTGAGACTACAGGCACACACCACCACACCCGCCTATTTGTTTTATATTTTTTGTAGAGATGGGGTTTCACCATGTTGCCCAGGCTGGTCTTGAACTCCCGGGCTCGAGCAATCCACCAACCTCAGCCTCCCAAAATTTTGGGACTACAAGCATGAGCCACCAAGCCCAGCCCATTCTTTTTTTTAGTATCTTGACAACAATTATGATGTTTTTCTCTGCTGGCAAGAAAGTGATTACAAAGGTTCTCAAGTGTTCCAATAGAAGGTACACTTAAGATATTTTCTGAAAACTCATTTGGCAATAATTACAAAAAAGGATGTAAAGATCTTTTAGTGATGTGATTCCCCTTCTGTAATTGATCATAAGGGAAACTTCAAAAGGATGGACAAATGTTTAGGAGCATTGCAGCACTATCTACAAAAATAATAACAAGAGGAAAGTGTTCATTGACATAGATTTGTGTCATACTAAAATGGAATATTCTGCAGCAACATTTAACTGTGGTTTTAATTAATAAAATAGTAATTAAAAGTTGTTTGTCTAATGTGTAGATATTAAATAATCATAGTGATATGTAATTAAACATTGTGAATGTACTGTGAGGAAGTATGTAAAGGTTCTCTGAAAGCATTGTGTAAGAAAATAAATTAAGACCTAAAACTGAAGGACAAGTAGATATTCCCTGAGTGAGAATAGAAGAAAGGTGGAGTAGAGGATACAGTATATGTTAAACGCATTGGATATAAAGAATCATGGCACATTTAAAGAGCTAGAAGAAATTCCGCGTGGCTAGTGGGAAAATCCTAGGTAGAGACCTATAGGAGTTGCAGCTGAGAGGCACACTAGGGCTAGAACCATCTGGCTGCTGCCATTTGTTGAGCAACTGAAAGCCTTTGAAAAACAGTAGCCAGTGTGTGACTACCAGATTTTCTTTTACAATACATCACATTATCTGCTATTTGAAGAAACTGGAATAGGACAAATGACTCTTTGGAGAAATCACACTTGAAGCTATTGCAATAGACTTAGTGAGGTATGGAAATGGTGTAGACAAAAATGGTAAGTAGAAACTGAATGAAGAATAAGTATTCAGAGATATTTAGACATTAAAATCAACAGAATTTGGTGAGAACATAGTGTCAAGGATGAAACAAATTTCCAATGTGGGCCCTAGATGATGGCCACACATTCCCATGAAAAAAGAATCGCTGCAGTATACAGGAGGGTTGGGGTGGGGTGGGAGGTGGGGACTAAAAAAAGTGTGGATTATGATCATGATGAATGAAACCCTTCATTATCAAAAGAACAGTGAAGTCAGCTGACACTCTGGGAGAAGTCTGAGCTAGATATTTGTGAATCAGAGGTATGAAGCCATGGCCATGTAAATGGTGAAATCACCTAAGGAAAGAGTTTAGAGATGAAAAGTGCAGAGCGGGATGAGGCGCCAAGAAAGACAAGAAAATATAGCCAAAATAGAAGAAAAAAATTCAGGAGTGCAGTGGCACTGATTCGAAGGGAAGGGAGTGCTGCCAGATGGAGGCGTGACAACAATTCCAAAAGCTGCTAAAAAATCAAACCATTAGGCAAAGCGAAAGATGTGGAGGGAAGTGGAGCCCTTAGCAAGACAGTAAAAAAGAGCAAAGCCAGATGGATTTTGGTGAAAAAAGAAGTAATTAGGGGTGAAGAAATAGAGGCAGCACTTGCGAAAGACTCCAAAAGTGTGATTTTGAAGGGGTAAAACAGGACACTGGTTTATTACATAGAAGTAGAAGTAGAACTGAGAAAACATGATCTGTAGTAGTGTTGATTTGATAAGTCATTTCCAAAGAAAAAGAGAGGTTAAAGGCCCAGAAGAGAAAATAGGTAACCAACTCCGCGGAGATACAGGAAAGAATGGCTATAGGAAATGGCTTAGATGGTGGGACCAGGGGCAACCCTGCCTGCATTCTGAGTTCTTAACTTTTCTTGTGTTGAGATTCTTCTAGCTGTCTGGTGGTTCCTGTAAGTGTTTCAAAAATATATTTTAAAAGCCTAAAACGAAATATGTATACAAAAGAAACTGCTATGTTAATGTGAAATACTTTTTCAATCAGTAACAAACTTTTTAATTAAATCATCATATGATAATTTGATGAGTCTAGTACTATATCATATGATATATGATATATGATTTGATGAGTCTAGTACTACATCATATGATAATGATGAGTCTAGTACTATAATAACTTTGAAATAGTGACCATAAGCAACATTTTGATATATCTAAGACACTGGTAATGGGATATAAAATAACTGATTTTTATTGGTGGTAAAATCACAATCACAGTACAATAAATACTGTGGCTGTTGTCTACATACATTCCATTCAGTAATTACTGAAAACAAAGTTTTTTGTTGTTGTTGCTTTTTTGTTTTTTTTTAATGGAGTCTCACTCTGTCGCCCAGGTTGGAGTGCAATGGCGTGATCTCGGCTCACTGCAACCTTCACCTCCCAGGTTCATGCCATTCTCCTGCCTCAGCCTCCTGAGTAGCTGGGACTACAGGTGCGTGCCACCATGCCTGGCTAATTTTTTTTTTTTTTTTTTTTTTTTTTTTTTTTTAGTAGAGACTGGTTTTCATCGTGTTTTCCCCAATCTCCTGAACTCGTGATCCGCCTGCCTCGGCCTCCCAAAGTGCTGGGATTACAGGCGTGAGCCACCGCGCCCTGCCACAAAAAGTATTTTTGTCGTTTTTCTTTTTTTTCTTTTGCTGATCCGAGTTCGTAGACACACTGTATTCTATCAACAGGCCTATGTTTGAGAATCCCTGGGTTGAAGCTTAAGGGATAGAAGAGGGGATGAATGTAGACACTGGTAAATCCAAAGACCTGAGATGGAAAAATTGAAGTGACTGTGATGGTCTCTCCTTCCTTTGAGAAGCCTGGAATGAGTTAATCTGATGAAAAGAGGGTGATAGTTTGAAGACACAGCAGTTTGAGAAGAGGAAAAAAAGAGGATGTGAAATCATTATACAGTGGCGCAATAAAGCTGACAACAAAAATGTAAATTCGCCTACAGCAATGATGGCCTAATACAAGTTGGTAATCTTGAAGTTATGATGGTAACAGTGTATATATACCAAAATCCCAACGATGTGAGTGCATTTTGTGTATGTACGAATTTAGTGCATATACAAATTAATACCAAAGTAAAGAAGACTAAAAGGGAATTTTTGAAGGGTGGAGTAGGATAACAAGTAATTTCATTTTTTTGCTTCTTTTTCTTGATTTTTCAAAATTTATTTAATAAAAAATGTATTACTGAAAACAAATACTGATGTATAGAAAAATGTGACATTGCAAACTGGAGGTCGAGTAGTTGGGATCCAAAAAAAACACTTAGATTGGAAGCAAAATTTATAAACTACCATCAGAATTTATCTAATACACGAGTCAGTATTTCCCACAAGGTACAAGAATTATGTCTTTCTCAGTTTGTGAACACTCATTGCAAAGCAAGATAAACTTATTTTTTCAGTATACCAAAAGCATTAAAGCATGAAGCCTTAAAGTTATAAATTTAAGCAATTGAGGAAAATGTTAAACATTTCCCTAGCAGAAAGCATGGTCACTATCTAGAGCAGATTTAAGTGAATCTTTTTTTTCCACATAGATTAAACCAGTTCAATAAAAGAGAATCTTTATGATGTGTGTGCCTCTCTGCGCTTGCTTTTTCAAATAAATTCTTTGAACATACATACAGGTTTGAAAGGAATTATTTTTTCTGATAATACTTTTTATTGCTGTATTGCAGTGAGCAGGGCCCCACAC
This sequence comes from Homo sapiens, assembly GCF_000001405.40. NCBI lineage: Eukaryota > Metazoa > Chordata > Mammalia > Primates > Hominidae > Homo > Homo sapiens. Next base: position 114,841,410 of record NC_000004.12, on the reverse strand, counting down.
TGCTCCACATTTCAAAATAATGTAGCCTATTACTTAGCTAGTCCTGTCTATTCAGTAAATACCATAAATCCAAAGCTCAGCAGGCATAATTCAGAAACTCCTACAAATGTCACCTGCCGCTGTAATTTCTACCCCACATTTTTATAACGGACCTCGCAGAGGAGCTATAGTGCTGTTTTTCCATAAAATATGTCCTTTTGTGACTTCATGGTCATATTTTTATGCTAATCTACTTAGTTGCAGGAATATAAAGAAAAGTTGGTGCTAAACTGGTAAAAGTCAACATAGAACAGATTAAGCACAGTTTCATATTATCACTGCTTAAGGTAGACATTTTAGCATTACTGTATTAAATATGTATGTAGTGTGTTTCTTATTCTTCATTGAAATTATATAATTTCTACACATTTTACTAATTAAATGAGTTATATAATCTATATACTCAGCATAAGGTATACACATGTAAAAATATCAATAAATATACAACAACAAGAGAACTTCAAAAGTGTATGCCACTTACTAATTATTCTTTAACCACTCATCAATTCCTAATCATCTTTACTTTTCTAGTTATTTTTATTTCTAACTCACACATAAGATCCATCACTCACACATAAGGCCAGCCATTACACAGTCATAGCACGGACCAGTATACTTCCACATTTACCCTACACTAGAATTTCTTCAAATTCACTTTTAGAAGTTTCACAACACTTATTCCCGCATACCTCATCTATCTTAGCTCAAACTTACCTTAGATGACGAAGTCCTCTTAGTTTTCATATGTGTTTGGTGGTTTTGTTTTTCTGATTATCACAATCTTTCTCCTTACATTTTAGCTTGAAAGCTTCAACCGTTGAAAAGTCCTTTCATGCTGCAGTCAGAATTAATCCCTTACTGATCTGGCTGTCACAGCAAGTAACTTCTACCTCTAATCAAATATGTCAAATATACAACTTTATTCCAATCTATTGTCTCCCACACTAGATCTGATTTCTTTGAAGAGAGTGGTTATGTCTTATATCTTTTCATCTCCAGGATCTATCTCAGATCTTTGTTCTGGAAAGAAGCTTAAATAATGCTTGTTAAATTGTATTGACTGTTAAATTTATCTCTCACTGAGCTGGGCCCTTTCCTGTTTGACCAATGATAGTTTGGTGTGACTCAGGATTTGATACTGAAAAGTAGAAGTGAAGCAGTATTCGTGAATTAGCAGGTTTAGATAGAAACCCTTTCAAACAGAAAGGACCTTGGGTGATGTAATATGAATATGACATCTAAACAAGCATGAGAAATAGACAGCAGCTTTCTCTGTACCCATAGCACCTGATACACAGGGATATTGGGGAAATGTCAGAATCTGAAGGAGTGGCAGTAATGGAACAGTGGCCCAAGAAACATGTAAGACTACTCTTAAAAAGATTATTCTTGCAAAATCTAAATTTTTCATTAGGGTTGATTTGTCTGGTCTCTGACATCATCTCAGTCTTAATAATATCCATGAAGAAAATCCTCACATCCTACCTCTGCCTTGCACCTAACCACTTTAGACATAAATATAACTACAAGTTTATGTGTATACCACTTGATATATAGTGAAGGCTTGTACTTTAATTTACTTTAAAATAAGCAGTGTGCCAATGGGTATTCCAATGTATACGGTTGTCATTCTATTTCATTTCATTAGTTTATTTTCATTCTAAAATTAAGTATTTGATTTGTTATTATTTTGTGACATAAAGGACACACACATTTATACATACACACCAAACACACACATGCATGTGCTCACCCATACACATATGCATATCTACACAGGCATTAAAAAAAATCTAACTTTACAATTGACTTTCTTGTTAAAGCACCAACGATCACATGAAGATCCAGCTGCTCTGAGGTTCAATTTCTATGAAGTTATTTCAACAGGACATTGGGCTCCATCTGACTTAAAAACTTTGCAGAGAAGATGCCTAGTACCTGGATGGTATGCAGTCCACATAGAAAGATGGCTAACTTACTTTGCTACTTCTCAGGTAATGTCCTGAAATTACTTTCTTCTGTTTATTTTATTATAATGTCCTGAAATTTTATATTTTATTATAATGTCCTGAAATTACTTTCTTCTGCTTATCATGATTGTATTGCACTGACAAGCAGAAAATGGGAATTAACATTGCCAGAGACAGTGATTTATAATCAGAGACAATGATAAGTAAGGAAGAAATGTGCATTTTACATTTTTAATTTTATTAATACTATTAACATTATAAATATCTCTAAAACACATTCTTACAATCTTCTTTTGAACAGTAGCTAGTTTCAAGGTGATAAGTTCTCATACAGGAGACATCATGTGATTTATGGGCAACAACTCTCAACTACCAGTACAATAGCCAGTTAGACAACAACTTTACGAAACACCACATGCAGATACCTGCATGTTGTTTGTTCTGTATGGCCCTTATAAGGAAAGAAGGTCATGCACTAGGCTGCCAAATGGGGAGTGTTATAATGGCTACAGGAACATGAGATAGATCAAGAAATAAGGATTTGAAAAAAGGCATCCATATATTTTTTTTTGTATTGATCTTCAAAAAAAAAAAAAAGTTCTGGGCTACATGTGCAGAACATGCAGGTTTGTTACATAAGTATACATGTGCCACGGTGGTTCGCTCCACCCATCAATCCGTCACCTACATTAGGTATTTCTCCTAATGCTATCCCTCGCCTTGCCCCACACCCCTGACAGGCCACAGTGTGTGATGTTCCCCTCCCTGTGCCTATATGTTCTCATTGTTCAACTCCCACTTATGAGTGAGAACATGCGGAATTTGGTTTTCTGTTCCTGTGTTAGTTTGCTGACAATGATGGTTTCCAGCTTCATCCATGTCCCTACAAAGGACATGAACTCATCCTTTTTTATAGCTGCATAGTATTCCATGGTGTATATGTGCCATATTTTCTTTATCCAGTCTAAAATTGATGGGCATTGGGCTGGTTCCAAGTCTTTGCTATTGTGAATAGTGCTGCAATGAACATACGTGTACATGTGACTTTATATTAGAATGATTTATAATCTTTTGGGTATATACCCAGTAATGGGATTGCTGGGTCAAATGGTAGCTCTGGCTCTAGATCCTTGAAGAATTGCCATACTGTCTTCCACAATGGTTGAGCTAATTTACACTCCCACCAACAATGTAAAAGCATTCCTATTTCTCCACATTCTCTCCAGCGTCTGTTGTTTCCTGACTTTCTAATGATCACCATTCTAACTGGCATGAGATGGTATCTCATTGTGGTTTTGATTTGCATTTCTCTAATGAACAGTGATGATAAGATTTTTCCATATGTTTGTTGATCACATAAATGTCTTCTTTTGAGAAGTGTCTGTTCATATACTTTGCCTACTTCTTGATGAGGTTGTTTTTTTCTTATAAATTTGTTTAAGTTCCTTGTAGATTCTGGATATTAACCCTCTGTCAGATGGATTGCAAAAATTTTCTCCCATTCTTTAGGTAGTCTGTTCACTCTGATGATAGTTTCTTTTGCTGTGCAGAAGCTCTTTAGTTTAATTAGATCCCATTTGCTAATTTTGGCTTTTGTTGCCATTGCTTTGTGTGTTTTAGTCATAAAGTCTTTGCCCATGCCTATGTCCTGAATGGTATTGCCTAGGTTTTCTTCTAGGATTTTCATGGTTTTAGGTCTTAGACTTAAATCTTTAATCCATCTTGAGTTAACTTTTGTATAAAGTGTAAGGAAGGGGTCCAGTTTCAGCTTTCTGGATATGGCTAGCCAGTTTTCCCAACACCATTTAGTAAATAGGGAATCCTTTCCTCATTGCTTGTTTTTGTCAGGTTTGTCAAAGATCAGATGTTTGTAGATGTGTGGTGTTATTTCTGAGGCCTCTGTTGTGTTTCATTGGTCTGTATATCTGTTTTGGTGCCAGTACCATGCTTGTTTGGTTACTGTAGCCTTGTACTATAGTTTGAAGTCAGGTAGCATGACGCCTCCAGCTTTGTTCTTTTTGCTTAGGATTGTCTTGGCTATACGGGCTCTTTTTTTGGTTCCATATGAAACATCAACATCAACATAAAGTACCCCCACACAAAAACCCCATCCAAAGGTTATCAGCCTCAAAGATCAAAGGTAGATAAATCCACGAAGATGAGGAAAAACCAGTGCAAAAATGATGAAAATTTCAAAAACCAGAATGCCTCTTCTCCTCCAAATGATTGCAACTCCTCTCCAGCAAAGGCACAAAACTGAACACAGGATGAGATTGATGAATTGACAGCAGTAGGCTTCAGAAGGTGGATAATAACAAACTCCTCTGAGCTAAAGGAACATGTTGTAACCCAATGCAAGGAAGCTAAGCACTTGGTAAATGTTACAGGAACTGCTAACTAGAATAACCAGTTTAGAAAGGAACCTAAATGGCCTGATGGAGCTGAAAAACACAGCATGAGAACTTTGTGAAACATACACAAGTATCAATAGCCGAATCGATCAAGCAGAATAAAAGCTATCAGAGATTGAAGATCAACTTACTGAAATAAGGTATGAAGACAAGATTAGAGAACAAAGAATAAAAAGGAATGAACAAAGCCTCCAAGAAATATGGGACTATGTGAAAAGACCAAAGCTACAATTGATTGGTGTACTTGAATGTGACAGGGAGAATGGAACCAAGTTGGAAAACACAATTCAGGATATTATCCAGGAGAACTTCCCCTACCTAGCAAGACAGGCCAACATTCACATTCAAGAAATACAGAGATCACCACTAAGATACTCCATGAGAAGACCAACCCTAAGACACATAATCATCAGATTCTCCAAGGTTGAAACGAAGAAAAAAATGTTAAGGGCAGCCAGAGAGAAAGGTCAGGTTACCTACAAAGGGAAGTCCATCAGACTAACAGCAGATCTCTGCAGAACCCCTACAAGCCAGAAGAGAGTGGGGGCCAATATTAAACACCCTTAAAGAAAAGAATTTTCAAACAGAAAAAAGAATTTCATATTTAGCCACACTAAGCTTCATAAGCGAAAGAGAAATAGAATTATTTACAGAGAAGCAAATGCTGAGGGATTTTGTCACCACCAGGCCTGCCTTACAAGAGCTCCTGACAGAAGCACTAAATATGGAAAGGAAAAAACCTGCATCAACCCTGCAAAAACACATCAAAATATAAAGACTGATGACACTATGAAGAAATTGTATTAAGTAATGTACAAAATAACCAGCTAGCATCATGATAACAGAATCAAATTCATACATAACAATATTAACCTTAAATGTAAATGGGTTAAATGCCCCAATTCAAAGACACAGATTGGCAAATCAGATACATATTCAAGGCCCACTGGTATGCTGTATTCAGGAGACCCATCTCACGTGCGAAGACGCACATAGGCTCAAAATAAAGGAATGGAGGAATATTACAAAGCAAGTGGAAAGAAAAAAAAATGCAGAGGTTGCAATCCTAGTCTCTGATAAAGCAGACTTTAAACTAACAAAGATCCAAAAAGACAAAGAAGGGCATTAAATAACAGTAAAGGGATCAACGCAACAAGAAGATCTAACTATCTTAAATATATATGCACCAAATACAGGTGCACCCAGATTCATATAACAAGTTCTTAAACACCTACAAAGAGACTTAGACTCCCACACAATAATGGTGGGAAACTTTAACACCCCACTGTCGATATTAGAACAATGACAGAAAATTAACAAGGATATCCAGGAATTGAACTCAGCTCTGGACTAAATGGAACTAATAGACATCTACAGAACTCTCCACTCCAAATCAACAGAATATACATTCTTCTCCACACCACACAGCATGTATTCTAAAATTGACCACGTAATGGGAAGTACAACACTCTTCAGCAAATGCAAAAGAATGGAAATCATAACAAACAGTCTCTCAGACCACAGTGCAATCAAATTAGAACTCAGGATTAAGAAACTCACTCAAAACCGCACAACTACACGGAAACTGAGCAACCTGCTCCTGGGTGACTACTGGGTAAATAACAAAATTAAAGCAGAAATAAAGAAGTTCTTTGAAATAAATGAAAATAAAGAGACAACATACCAGAATCACTGGGACACAGGTAAAGCAGTCTTAAGAGAGAAATTTATACCACTAAATGACAACAGAAAGCTGGAAAGATCTAAAATCAACACTCTAACATCATAATTAAAAGAACTAGAGAAGCAAGAGCAAACAAATTCAAAAGCTAGCAGAAGACAAGAAATAACTAAAATTAGAAAATTAGAGCAGAACTGAAGGAGATAGACATGAAAAACCTTTCAAAAAATCCATGAATCCAAGAGCTGGTTTTTTGAAAAGATTAAGAAAATATATGGACCACTAGCTAGCTAGACTAATGAAGAAGAAAAGAGAGAAGAATCGAATAGACACAATCAAAAGTGATAAAGGAGATATTACCATTGATCCCACAGAAATACAAACTGTCATCAGAGAATACTATAAACACCTCTATGCAAATAAACTAGAAAATCTAGAAGAAATGGATAAATTACTGGACACATACACCTTCCCAAGACTAAACCAGGAAGAAGTCAAATCCCTGAATAGACCGATAACAAGTTCTAAATTTGAGGCAGTAATTAATAGCCTACCACCAAAAACACAGGATCAGACTGCTTCACAGCCGAATTCTACCAGAGTTACAAAGAGGGACTCCTCCCTAACTCATTTTATAAGGCCAGCATCATCCTGATATCAAAACCTGGCAGAGACTTAACAAAAAAAGCATAACTTTAATATTCTATCTTCCAGCTCAGGGCAAATTGAAGCCCTAGTAGCTGGGCCTTACCATTGACCTTTTTCCAGTATTCCTTTTTTTTTTTTTTTTTTTTTTGAGATGGAGTCTCGCTCCATCACCCAGGCTGGAGTGCAGTGGCACGATCTTGGCTCACTGCAACCTTGGCCTCCTGGGTTCAAGCAATGCTCCTGTCTCAGCCTCCCATGTAGCTGGGACTACAGGAGCCTGCCACCATGACTGGCTAATTTTTGTATTTTTAGTAGAGACAGGGTTTCACCTTGTGGGTCAGGCTGGTCTCGAACTCCTGACCTCAGGTGATCCACCCACCTCAGCCTCACACAGTGCTGGGATTACAGGTGTGAGCCACTGCGCCCGGCCTTTTCCAGTATTCCTTTGACAATTATGATATTCTAGGGCAGTGATCCAATGATCAGTAAGGCATGGACAAACATTTCCCTCCTCCCTCTGTCTTGTTTGTTTAAGATTAGATGGGTGATTTTCATTTGGATGACCACTATTTCTGAGCCCTAAGCTCCAGGGTTAGCTAATAGGAATTTGGTAGGCTGGATAATTATCTGATCACACAACAAATGGAAAATTATGTTTCTACTGAAGCACTAAATCAAGAAAGTGTCTATGTTTACTTCTGATTTACAAAAAGCAAGTTAAGGGCTATAACTTGATAATTCACAAGAAATGATGCCTATGGCAAACTTTATTGTTTATGTGGAAGGATGCAAGAATAATAAACATTCGGATGTATTCTAAGTAGGGCATATTTGCTTCCTATTCACACTGATCTAATTTATGAATGTCACACCAGGTAAAGGAAGGCATCACAGTCTATTCAATTTAATTTTTTTCTTCATAAAGTGACTATTTCTGACTTTACAGTTGCTAATTATTGATGGACAGCAGCTGAGATCTGACCCAGCTACTGTGATGGATGAAGTCCAGAAGTTTCTGGGAGTTACACCTCGTTATAATTACTCTGAAGCACTAACGTGAGTCTATTGTCATGCTTGATTTCATTTCCATTATTTGCCATCATAAATTATCACTGGTAGGTGTGTATATAACATCATTAATACTAGCTAGAATTTATACATCCTATGCTACCTACAAGCAATCAAAGGAATATCCTCATCAATCATGTAGTGTTTCTCTTTTAAATATGAGAAATACTTTATTTTGTAAAGTATATGTTATATTATTGCAAATTCTTCTTTTTGTGAGTTTTCCCTGTTATCAGTTTGATTAAGTAAATTTTTTATATGCCTACCTGTGCAGAAAGTGTCCTAGAAATTTAGTTTACAAAGGTGAAAAAGATATTGTCTCCTCTTTCAAGAAATTTACAGGTTAGAAATGAAATGCAATATGTAGGACAGAATTGGGAAATGAGTATATTCATGTTTTATTATGTATTTATTAAATTATTTATAACCAAATATAATCATGTATACTGTTCCAGCTATTTATTGTTGCATGACAAACCATCCCAAAGCCTAGTGGCTTATAATGACCATTATTTTATTATGCTCATGGAATCTGTGGGTCAGGAATTAGACAGGATACAGAAGGATGGCTTGTCTTCGCTCATGATGTTTAGAGCCACAGCCTGGAAGACTTGAATATCTGGCTTTGACTCAGATGACTGGGACCTGAAATCATCTGGAGTCTCCTTTACTCACGTCTCTGAATCCTGGACTGGCATGGCTCAAAGGCTGAGATCAGTGGGTTGAAGACTCTCCATGAGGCCTCCTGGATGACTTGGCTTTCTCACCTTGTGGTGGCTGTGTTCCAAGAGGGAGCAATAAGTCAAGGGAGCATGTGGTCCAAGACAGCCAAGTCCTTCTCTGACCTGGACCTGCCAGTCACACAGTATAACTTAGGCTACATTCTACTTGTTACAATAGTCACTAAAGCCAGTCCAAATCCAAGGGGAGAAAAACAAGACTGCACCTCTTGGTGGGGTGGGACAGCATCACCAGTGGGAATGAATGTGGGATGGGAGATATGATTGCTGTCATCTTGGGAAAATAAAACCATATATTTTTATAATTAAAAATGGGGAGAAATGTAAAAGAAGCAGAATAACAAACAAAAACAAGTAGCCAAAATATACCTTAAAAGGGATTGTACTTTATTCATAAAAGCCTCTCCCACAAGGTCTGATACAAAACCTGTGAAATTTTGACAAAATTCTAACAAGCACAATTATGTAATTTCCCAGTTCGCAGCAGATTAGAACCAGCAATTAGACAATTAGAGAGGCTAACAGAGGAACAGGAAAAGCAGTAATAAGATTGGGTTGTTCCTTATCCACTAAAACAACCTTAATGAAGTTTTTACCTACACATGGAAATAACAACAACACAAGGCCTATTCCTGTTAATTAAGTAAACGAAGCTTCCTATAATATGTTTGTATTAATAGTTACTGATGTTGGCTTTCTTTTCCTGCCTCTCAGCCGTAGTTGAGGTAATGTTTCTATCCTGTTTATGAAAAATAGTTGCTTATGGTTCAATAAACCTGTAAAATTACACTTTTGAAGGAGAGATTACAAACAAGTACAAAATATGTCGTTTTTAATATGTCTCACACATCACAAAAATTAATAACTATAGTGATGTTCAGTAGAATAAAAAAAACTCAAACCACAACCAACTCATGTACTAAAAGTTGCCTAACAGTTATATTGAGGCAGGCTTTGCATCTTAATTTCACAATTTCATGCCTACTAAAGTAAAACCACAAAGCAATGAATTGATATAACTTAGAGAGGATAAATGTCCTTTGTTAGACTTAAGGCATATGAAGTTGCCAATGCAATAAATGAAACCAGGACAGCAAAATCATGTAGATTCAAGGTTATGACAACCCTATCTAAAAAAAATGACTTTCGGTATTCTGGAGGGCTCTCCTTTCTCTGATTGTATTAAGCTGTGCCTTACAACAGCTGCTGTGGATAACAAGGAGAGACCACAGCCCATCCTGAGACCTCGGCATTACCTGAGAGCAAAGGAGATGCTCTCAGCATGTGTATAAATATGTTGACTTTGCTGCCAGGGCTGTATTTTACCTTAATGCAGTTAAATATTCTCATCCTGAGGCAGAAAACAATGTTTAGGGGCACTGTTATGCCAACTTCATCTCATTTTATACAGCATGCTGAATTGTTTTTCCTCTTGGGAAATTAATGAAAACAGGAGAAAGGATTGTGACAGGCAAAGAGCAGATTGAAAAGTCCAGGTTGGAGGCCGGGCGCGGTGGCTCACGCCTGTAATCCCAGCACTTTGGGAGGCCGAGGCGGGTGGATCATGAGGTCAGGAGATCGAGACCATCCTGGCTAACAAGGTGAAACCCCGTCTCTACTAAAAATACAAAAAATTAGCCGGGCGCCGTGGCGGGCGCCTGTAGTCCCAGGTACTCGGGAGGCTGAGGCAGGAGAATGGCGTGAACCCGGGAAGCGGAGCTTGCAGTGAGCCGAGATTGCGCCACTGCAGTCCGCAGTCCGGCCTGGGCGACAGAGCGAGACTCCGTCTCAAAAAAAAAAAGAAAAGTCCAGGTTGGAAATGACTCTTTCTTTTATCCATTTAACTAGTGATGTATTTAATTTTAATTTACAACATGTACTAGGACAACTTGGACTGCAAGGTTCAGGTCTCTAATAATAGGTTGGGCAGAGAACTGTGAAGAAAACTTCCCTCTCCCCCTAAATGAATTCACATATGTACAGAAGCAAATTGCAGGTGCACCAGTATTATAGGAATGGGCCCAGGGCAACAAAATATTCTGCAACTAATTAACTTTATATCCCAGTCAATTATGCTTCATCCTTCTAAAACATCTGCTGAGCAGCAAAAATGCAAACCTTTTCGATGTTTTATGCATGCAGCAAGTCCCATAGTAATGAACTTAAAATTTCCCTTCCTATTTGGTTCATTCTTCCGTTTTTCCTCTCCTGTTAGTCCTAAACAAAAATTCTTACATATTTGACTTTTAAAAACAAATTAGGCCACACATCCTTTCTTTTATAACTCAGTGCAGCTATGTGAGCAAAACGACATTAGAGTTTTCTGTAAGAATATAGGTACCTGAATTATCTAACAGATTATCTGCCTTCAACAAGAGAAAT